>NC_000001.11:66826562-67129592 GCF_000001405.40 Homo sapiens
ACCAGGATTACAGGTGTGAGCCACTGCGCCCAGCCAAGGTAAACTACTTTCATTCAAATACTTTTAAAACCACATATGGTATAAATAATTGACATTAATATAGCATCCTGGCATTATCTTTATTCATAAAGGACTCTCATAAACTATTACTTCTTTTAAAGTAACTACAATACCCTCTAACTGGTGTCAAAACTATCAGGTATCACTTAGTTTGAACTGCTTCTACTAAAATTTATGCAAGAAAAATAGTAACTTACGTGCTGATATGAAGGTCCCAAATCTCCACCCTGTTCTCATTTGCAGCTGCAAATATATAGGATGATTTTGGAGACCAGGCAACGTCGTAAACAACAGAAGTAGCTGGATAAAAACTCAAAGATGGCTTGACATTCTCCTGTTGCCATATAATAACACCCCAATCTGCAGAACAGCTTAAAAATACATCATGACAAAATGGATTCCATGTCACTTTATACACTGGACCCTAGAAATAAAAAAAAAATACATAGGTAAATAATATTTAACATCTTTTATTTTAAACTTGACCAGCAAATTAAAAATGCTAAGATTTCTAGATTTTCACACTATTCATTATTGTGTGGGCATTATTTTAGTTGAGAATAAGATCACAGATTGAATCTTCCCTAAATTATTACATTTAGAAACATAAAAATATAGTTGCTACAATATTCACTAAATTTAACACATATTATGCATACTTTGAAAAAATAAAGAGTATTAAGAAAAAAAAGAAATGAGGGAGAAAATGAAGAAAATGTGGCTGAAACAATCATGACAAGATATATAGCCAGGTGCAGTGGTGTTTGCCTGTAGTCCCAGCTGCTTTAGAGGCTAAAGTGGGAAGATCAAGTGGAAGATAAAGTGGAAGTTCAAGGTCAGCCTGGGTAACAGTGAGACCCATCTCTTAAAAAAAACATTAAAAAAAATAAGCTATAGAGACTAGGTATGGGTGAAAGACAATTTTACTTTAGGATCAGCATGTTATCATAAGCAAAGTCTTTTAGAAACAAAACTTCCAAACTTTCAAGAAGAAATCAAGGATATCTAGAAGTCAAATAAAATGCCCCGTACATTATTGGTGGTTTCCATAGAAGAAAACACTTAATTCAAGATGGTATTTTTAACTCTGAAGTTGTAAATTTATTGCATATTACATATTCTGTATATAATGGTACTGTTTTTTCAGAAATACAAAATAAATGTTCCAACCTACTATAATTAAACTAACCTTATGTCCTCTGTAGGTATCTAAGTATTGTTCATTATATGAACAAGAACATTTGTGAATATGACCTTCTTCAGTGCCAGCCAAATAGATATTTGTGTCCTACAACACAAAACATCGAAATGCATTGGCTTGTGATACATTAGTAAGTGTGATAAATAGAAGATTAGATATTTCTGGATCTATTAAAATCAATTCAAGAACCCAAAATAAAAACACTATCTTGAATATACCAATCTTGTCTTTTTCTTTTGTCATGATTTTGTAATAATCAAACTACCTGAGAGACTACTGTGCAAAAGAAAATATAAATTGGTCCTTTGCTGGAATCGGGGTAGCATTTAATATCCTGTATGGAAATTACATAGAAAAACACTGGCTTAAAATAAATAAGAAACTTTCTAACATTTAGAGCTACCTGACAATGGAACTAGCAGTCCAGGGAAATAGTAAGTGCTCTTTCATTACAACTATTCCAAGAAAAGACAGATATACACTTTCAAACTACATGATATTGAAAAAAGAAAAAAATAAATTATATGATAAAGTATAATTTCTCCCAAATTGGTATTACCAATACATATTCCCAGACAGTCGTATATAAAAGTGATCTGACTCACATTCTCTTCAACAGTTAGTTACATCAGAAATATTAAATGTTGCCATTCTATTAGATGTAAAATTATATCACCTGTTTTTAATTCCTAATTATGTGAATATCAATAAGGTGGAGCACTTTACGTTCCTTGGCCACTTGTGTTTCCTCTTATTTTGTGTCCCGATAATTTTAGTAATAATACGTCTTGTTATTTTTCATTTGTATAAGTTCTTTATATATTCTAGAATCTATTGCTTTGTCTATAACATGTTATAAATATCTTCTCTCAGTGTATGATTTACCTTTTTATTTTCTTTTTACTGTCTTCGATGAACATAAGTTTTCATTTTCTGTTATATTTAGCATTTTTTGTGCTTTAAGAAATCTTTCCCTACCTTAAGGTCCTAGAGATATTTTCCTACATTTTCTTCTGAAAGGTTTTTGTGTATGATAGGATAGAAATCGAATTCCTTTTTTAATATGGATACTTATTATTCTAACACCATTTATAAGTGGTCATTTTTCGCTAGCGATCTTCAAGGTCACTGTTGAAAGTTGGGTTTCCCAGCAAATAAACTCTGAGATTTCATGCCAGAGTGTTAGGGAGTGCTCTCAGGAACAACCTCTATGTGGGAAACAGGAATGGGCAGATATTTCAGTTGAGCCGTGACGCAGTTGCAATCAAGGGCTTAGTCCAAAGTATAAGAAGCTCTGGAGAGAAGATGGCCCTTCAGAGTCCTGTCTCAAGATAAGGAGGCCAGATATTTTATATATGCCCCCTTCAAGCAAGATGTTAGACTCAAACCTAACCATACTAATAATCAAACTAAATGTAAATGATCTTAGCAGCATAATTAAAAGGCAGTGATTTTAAGATTGTATAAAAAGGTGAGACCCAATTATATGCTACCTACAAAAAAATTTAAGTATAAAGAGACAAATAGGTTAAAAGAAAAAGCATAAAAAATGACAAACCAGGCTAACACCAGTTAAAAGTAAGCTGAAGTGGCTATACTAATATCATGCTAAGTAGATTTCAGAGTAAAAAAAATCACAAGTTATAAATAGGGCCATTTCATAGTGATAAAGGAGTTAATTGATCAATAGGACATAATAATGCTAAATATATGTATGTACCTAATAAGAAAGCATCAAGATACACAAAGCAAAACTGATAGAATTACAAGGAAAAATAGACAAATCTACAATTATGGTTGGAGACTTTATTACCTCTTTCTCAATAATTGAAAGAAGTAGGAAGAAAATCAGCAAAGAGAAGTAATCTTGAACAACATTATCAGCCAATTTAACCTGAATGACATTTATAGAATATTCTAACCAAGAAAAGCATAATACATATTTTTCTCAAGTATACAGGGAATATTTACCAATATAGACCACATACTGGGCTTTATAACAAATCTTAATAAATTCACGGAGTTCAGTTTATAAAAAGTATTTTCTCTAATTATGGTGGGATTGAATTAGAAATTGGTAACAGAAAGAACTTTGGAAAATCCCCAAATATCTGGAAACTAAATAACATGCTTCTAAATAACCCACCCATCAAAGAAGAAATCAAGGGTGAAACTGGTAATTTGAACAGAATGAAAATGAAAATGTAACATATCAGAATTTTTGGGATGCTGCTAAAGCAATACTTAGGGAAAAATTACAGCAGAAATAACTACATTAGAAAAGAAAAAAGTCATAAATCAATGACCTCCACTTTCATTCTAAAAAATTAGAAAAACAAGAACAAATTAAAACCAAAGTAAAGAAAAGAAATAATAAGGATCAAAGTGGAAATTGATGATAAAGAAAACAAAAAAAAAATAGTGAAAACCAATTAAGTCAAAAGCCATCTCTTTGAGTTCAATAGAATTGATAAACATAAGTCAGACTAATCAGGAAAAAAGAGAAGACACAAATTACTAATATTAGGAATCACAGAGTGGTGTCATGGTTTATGCCTATAACCCCAGCACTTTGGGAGGCCAGGGCAGGAGGATCACTTGAGCCCAGGAGTTTGACACCAGCCTGGACACCATAGCAAGACTACATCACTACAAAAATAAAAATAAATTAGGCCAGGCGCGGTGGCCGAAGCCTGTAATCCCAGCATTTTGGGAGGCCAAGGCAGAAGGATCACTTGAGGTCAGGAGTTTGAGACCAGCCTGGCCAATATGGTGAAACCCTGTCCCTACTAAAAAAAATTCAAAAAAGTAGCTGGGTGTGGTGGTGCACACCCGTAATCCCAACTACTCAGGAGACTGAGGTGGGAGAATTGCTTGAACCCAGGAGGCGGAGGTTGCAGTGAGCCAAGATCACTCCACTGCACTCCAACCTGGACTATAGGGTGAGACCCTGTCTCAAAAAAAAATAAATAAATAAATAAAATAAAATAAATAAAATAATAAATTAGCTAGGCATGGTGGTGTGTGGCTGTAATCCCAGTTGTTTAGGAGGCTGACGTGGGAGGATAGCTTGAGCCCAGGAGTTCAGAGTTACAGTGAGCTATAATCATACCACTGCACTCCAGCCTAGATGACAGAGTGAGACTCTGTCACAAAAAAAAAAAAAAAAAAATTAGAGGTGAGATTACTATATATTCCACAACTGTTAAAGGATGCTAAGGGAGTATTATGTCAATAGATTCCACAACTTCAATAAAATAGACAAATTCCTTAAAAGACAGAAATTACCAAAGCTCACTCAAGAAGCAATAGATAACCATAATAACCCTATATATATTAAAATTTGATTTTGTAGTTAAAAATTAAAAATCTCCCCACAAAGAAAACTCCAGGCCCAGATGGCTAATTCTATTAAGTATATAATGAAGAAATCATACTAATTTTATGAAAATTCTTTCTAAAAGGAATTCTACGCAGGCATGATTACCCTGATAGTAAAGTCAAAGATGTCACAAGAAAACTATAGATCAATCTCTCTTCTAACCAAAGATTCAAAAATTCTAAACAAAATTTCAGTATATCAAATGTATTCGTATATTAAAAGGGTAGTAAACAACAATCAAATAAAGTTTATTCCAGGGATAAACATTCAAAAAATCAATCTACTTCACCAGATTAACAAACTTGAAAAGAAAAACTATATGATCATCTTTATACATACGGAAAAGTGTTTAACAAAATCCAACATCCATTCCAAATAAGAACCACCCAACAAACTAGGAATGTAATGGAACTCCCTCAATCTGATTAATTCTGTCTACAAAAAGCCTTCATCTGACACCATACCTAATAGTAAAAGGCTAAATACTTTTCCTCTAAGATCAGGAACAATACAGGAATGCATGCTTTCATCATCTTTACTCATCACTGTACTGGAGGTTGTAACCAGTGCAATCGTACAAGAAAGAGAAATAAAGGCAAGCAGGTTAGAAAGAAAGAAGTAAAACTGTTTTTATTTACAGACCATATGATCATCTTGAATTCCTTATGCAAAGGACACCTCAGGACACTAGACTAGGTTGTCTCAACCAAGCATTATTGACATTTTGGGCCAGATAATTCTCTGCTGGGGACTGATGTGCACTGGGAGGGTGGTGGCTGCCTGTACATTGAAGGATATTTAGCAACATCTCTGGCATCTTCCCAGAGATACTGGTAGCCCTTCCCCACCCTCACCTCAATTCCTGACAGCTGCAACAGCCACAAATATCTCCAATCATTGCCAAATGTTCCCTAACGGGAAAATTCTCCCCTCCCTGCCCACATTGAGAACTAGAGTCAAAGTTAAGGTGAATTAAAGGAATTTGAGAATGAAGGAAGTTAGAAGATGGCTGTAGTAGTAAAAGTAAAAAATAAGACAGATCTGAACTACATTAGCAATAGCAGGCTTGGGCTGGAAGGGATGGGACAATCAAATTTTAAGTATCATTTAGATGATAGGGTAGAATAGAGGAGCTCAAGTTTTGGTTTGCATAATGAGGTAGATGATGGTGTCACCAAAGAGATGATCATATTACATGTAACAGAAAACATGGAACACATGTTCTGAAAAAGCCTATCATAGTGGCTGAATATTCTGATTCCAAAGTATCTCCAGACTGATAGAGAGTACAAGGATGGTTACCAGAGGCTGGGAAAGGTAGTTGGGGGTAGGGCAGTGGTGGGGATGGTTAATGGGTACAAAGAAATAGAATGAATGAATAATATCTAGTATTTTATAGCACAACAGAGTGACTATAGTCAATAATAATTTAATTGTACACTTTAAGAGAACTAAAAGAGTATAATTGGATTGTTTGTAACACAAAGGATAAATGCTTGAAGGGATGGATACCCCATATTCTATGATGTGATTATTACTCATTGCATGCCTGTATCAAAACATCACATGTACCCCATAAATATATATACCTTCTGTGTACTCATAAAAATTAAAAATAAAAAACAAAGTATCTCCAGATAAAAGAAAAAGGAGGACTTCATTAACTGTGCTCTGATTTGATGCTTGGTAAACATGAAATTAAGTAGTCTTTCTAATCCCCAAATCCTGAGAGTCACCACGTGAATTGAAATGTAGAAGACTATATACAAGTGGATTAGGTTTCTGTAAGTATGATAGAGCAGCAGAGTGGCCAAGGGGGGCAGGGAGAGGCACTTGAGTTAAGCACAAAGTTGTAAAGAGAATTTTTCCATAGTTACTCAGAAATATATACCTCTCATCTATCTATCTGCAAAAGCAGATAAAGATCATAGTATAGCCAACTAGAATGTACCATTCCACCTTAGGTTAGCAGCTAAATCTGTCATTTTTTCACTTACAAAGCACAATTTTAAAAAAAAGCTTTATTGGAATATAATTCACATATCATATAATTCACACATGTCAAGTATATAATCCAATAGTTTCTAGTTTGTTCATAGAGTTGTGCAATCATCACCACAATCAATTTTAGAACAGTTTCATCATCCCCCAAAAAACTCTATTATCATTAGTAAGTCATTCCCTATTTTTCCCTCCCTCCTCACCTATTCTTCCACCTGCATCCCCTAGCCCAGGCAATCATTTATCTACTTTCTGTCTCTAATATATTAGGCACAGTATTCATTAACAGGCTAATATTTGGTCTTGTTTTATGACTTAATACACTTCAATTTTTGGAAATTGTTATGTCCAGTGGTAAATAAGAGTGAAATAATTTACCTTGGGATGAAAAGCAAAACACATTCCAGGAGCCTGTCGAGATATCAAAGCTTCATCTTTCTTTTCCTTTTCCCCTCCTTTTTTGTTACTGGCAGCTGTAGTTCTCTTTAATCGCATCAAATCTGTATTTAAAGAAAAACATATATAACTTGTTATTTACCACATGAAAGAGTACCGCAAATATCATGTGTGTTTCTCCTGCAAATAATAATATTAGTTCTGCCAACTTTTGCATGTAATTAGGCTAAAATTAGCACACACCAGAACTAGCTGCTTAGAAAAACCATGACCAACCCAATTTTTTTCTTATTGGCCAAACCAAAATTTGTCATCTTTCACACATGGTTAACTAGAAAATTTTAATTCAGCACGTAACAAGAAAAATATAACTTGATTTTTCTTTTACCATAACAGTCTAGTCCTTTTCGTATAACCCATTTGGAGATTCTTCCATCTGCTGATATAGAAACTAGTATTTCTCTTTTGCCATCTCCTGTTGTTCCTCGATCTTGTTCTATCCACTGTAGTTGCCATACAGGTCCCAAATGTTTTTGAGGTGATTCACTAAAACAGTAAAAAAAATACTAAACATATAATCATTATAATAATTTCTTAAAGGCCTTGGAGTATAAGTGATAAGGTCAGCTTTCTAGAAGATCATGACCTATTTATATAATCCTTTTATTGTTCAAAAATAGACTTTTATTTTAAATATTTTTAAAAAAGAAAAGACAACCACTTTTCTACTTAATACTCACTGTTATTTTTTGTACTTCTTACAAAAGAAAAATTGTACTGGTCTTTAACTATATTAGCTATCATAACAGGAATACAAAAGCAAAAATGTTCTTTCTTTTCAGAATCTACTTTTCTTACTCTATTCATTAATTCTTTCTGACTTTTACTTTATTTTAGACACATGGAATATAAGTATTTTCATCTTTATGATGTTTCTATGAATTAAGTTGTTAATCATTTAAATCTTATCCAGGTAAACAATTCTTCTTTCTATATTTCACTCTTCCTCCTATGCTTCAAGATTGCCCATTGGTTTGACTCTCTCTATGGATTAGAGTTAAAATTTTTCTGAAAAATTAAACTCACTTCTCAGATTACTGACTCTTTTCCTATCAGATTAATGTGATGTTCTTTTCGTGGTACTGACTACCTTGATTTTTAATACAAACCCTCCAATGAAATCAATTCTGAACATTTTTAAAATCATACATATCTTTGATTTTTTGGTGAAAATTATGGACCCTCTTCCCAGAAACAAGCACAAAGGCCTATGCTTACAAAACTGCAAATAATTTGAAAGTTAAGTTTAGGAACCTCTGCTTTAATGGTTATTTCTAGTTCTAGCTAAGTTTATTCAAACACTTTTACAAACATGCCCCATTGGTATCTTGTCTATTACAAAAACCTAGCCTTTTTAATATCTTTCACCTCTAACTTTTTGGCTTTCCTCATATGACTCATTTATTCATCAATTACTCATCAAACACTTACTGGACTCCTGTTACATGTCCCATGTTATATGACATGCTGATGACAGAAAGGTATGTAAGATTCAATCCTTGCTCTCAAGGAACTTATACCCTCCTTAGACAGATAGATAGATAGATAGATAGATAGATAGATAGATAGATAGATAGATAAGATAGATTTACATATATACACATAAATAATTTTTATATACAATGTGATAAGCACTATGATAAAGGTATGTATAGGTTGCACAAAAGAAAGGAATGGGAACATTTTCTGGAAGAAGTGAAACCCAAAGCAATAGTTTAAGAATAAGCATAAACTGTCAAGTCAGAGGAAGTTCGTTAGTGAGATGGGCAGAGAAGAAGTTGAAGGAGCTATTAGGACAGACCATTCCAGCTGGAGAGACAATATGAGGGATTATGAAATGTTTCAAAAATAATGGTATCACTCTCAGTAACAACAAAAATATTTACTCAAAACTAAATAACATTAGAGTAAATCCTCCTGAAAAAGCATGTATTATACATTTATCTAATTCTCGGATTCTTACCTACTATCCAGAACTGGAACATTACTGTTGCTCCGTACATTGTAAATTGCAATTGTGCCATTGTGATAGCCAACGGCTAAAAGGTTAGGTGCTCCAATTGAAAAATCCACAGCAGTAACTCCATATGGACTCTGATAAATACGTTCTGGCCACTAAATTTTAAAAAATTACATTTTCAATTTGTTTTTGTAGACCACAGTAAGGCAGAATATAATGGTGGCTGAGATTTAGTTTGGTGGCAGTGGGTATGTGAGCAGAGTTAGCCCACATTCAGTTACTTCTGTCTTCCTAATTTCCAGTATAGAAAATAATAAAACCTCACTTGGTCATTTCCTTTGATACAAGTATGAATCTTCAGCACTCAATGGCTTTAAGAAATAGAGTGTTGGGCATGGGGGCTCACTCCTGGAATCCTAGCTACTAGGGAGGCTGAGGTGGGAGGATCACTTGAGACCAGCAGTTTGGGACCAGCCTGGGCAACATAACAAGACCCTCATCTCAGAAAGAAAGAAAGAAAAGAAAGAAAGAAAGAAAGAAAGAAAGAAAGAAAGAAAGAAAGAAAGAAAGAAAGAAAGAAAGAAAGAGAGAGAGAGAGAGAGAGAGAGAGAGAAAGAAAGAAAGAGAGAGAGAGAAAGAAAGAAAGAAAGAAAGAAAGAAAGAAAGAAAGAAAGAAAGAAAGAAAGAAAGAAAGAAAGAAAGAAGGAAAGAGGGAAGGAAGGGAGGAAAGTAGGAAGGGAAGTACAGCACAGCCTTCTACAATAATTATATTTTGGTAATCTTTCAGCAGGATTAGTATCACCATCACCTGTCTACCTTCTTATGGGAACAAAAAACTAATCATCTAGCATATAATTCCTGTCTTCTAGTATTTGTTTCAGATGCTTGGATTATCTAAAGAATGAACAGAAAAAGTTCCAAAACTCCCCAAGTTACTGTGTTCTACAACCCCATGAAGAGTTTGTTTTGTTTGAATGTCTAATTTAAATCCTTTCCTGCTTTTAACCACCTACATAAAAAAGAAGACAGACTACTGATGATGAATCCAATGTCAATCCCTCCACATTTAAAATTGCTTCTTCTTTTCTTTTGTGCTATATAAACCCAGATCTATATGACATATCGCTAAGTTTATTCAAACACTGTTACAGCTATTACAGACTAGAGCTATTTATAAAAATTTTAGTCATTTTTATATGCTCTTCTGACCCTTCTCTAAGTTTTCCACTTTGCATTTCAGTTGTGAATTTAAACTAAATGTAAAACTTTAAAGTAACAGATTGACTAGGGCTCTTTAGCAAAATTACTACTATGATTCTTTATATTCATTCTCTTTGAAAAATGTATGACAGTAAGAAGGTCAGATAAATCTATTTCATATCTGTTCAGAATAACAGTCAGGTGATAAGGAGGTATTCATATATTAAGAAACAACCAGGTATTTAAAAAACATAATTTTCAGCTGGGTGCCGGTGGCTCACGCCCGTAATCCCAGCACTTTGGGAAGCCAAGGCGGCTGGATCATGAGGTCAAGAGATCGAGACCATCCTGGCCAACATTGTGAAACCCCGTCTCTATTAAAAATACGAAAATTAGCTGGGTATGGTGGTGTGCACCTGTAGTCCCAGCTACTCGGGAGGCTGAGGCAGGAGAATCACTTAAACCCCGGGAGGCAGAGTTTGCAGTGAGTCGAGATTGCGCCACTGCACTCCAGCCTGGGCGACAATGTAAGACTCTGTCTCAAAAAAAAAAAAAAAAAAAACATAATTTTCAAAGGATTTTCATTTAAGATTCATTTTTTCTTTATAATTAGCTGTGAAAATCAATAATGGTTCAACTCTTCATCATCATATATAACAGCATATAGTACACATTCAATAAATATTTACTGAATGAATTAATAAATGAATTATCTTTACCCTATGTCAACAAGAACAAATTTTAATTGCTATGAAGTTAAACCAAAGAAAATAGTCTTGATTGATAAAATTTTCTAGACTTTATTTAATTATTACATGTAATTATATATTTTATGAGAATTTTGTCAACAGCCAGATAAAAATGCTTCTTATTCTTGTTTGGGTTACCATGGGATTCTTTATTGACCAGCAGCAAGCCAGTCCTCTTTTTTGCTCTTTAAATCCAAAGTGCCCATAGCCAACAGCCAAAAGATCCTGAAAACCAGAAAAATACATTTAAAAATAAGAGAAGATAGCATTAAAATATTGGTAAATGTATAAAGATATATATTAATGAGCTGTGTTAAAAATAGTAGTAAGACATTTCATCTGAGAGGAAAAAATGCCAGTACACCATCTGTTTTTACTCTATACCTCCATATTCCTAAGCAAAAAAGTTAATGAGTATAATGCTTCTCATTTGCAGGCTGAAAGATAAGCACCTAAAAATAACCAATTGCTAACAAGTTCTTTTACATATTGAGGTAGTCTTCTGAGATTGTATTAATAGGTTATAATATATTCTGAGTTTTTGAGGATGACTTAATTATTTCAAATGTAAAATAAAGGACACTTAAGTTAAAGGTAGCTGCCATAGACTGAATTGTGTCCCCTTAAAATTTATATGTTGAAGGCCTAACCTCCAATATGATTGTATGTGGAGATAGGGGTTTTAGAAGGAATCGCAGGTTAAATAAGATTATAAGGATGGGGTCCTAATGTGACAGGACTGGTGACTTTATAAAAAGAGAAAAACACACCAGAGGTCTCTCTCTGCCATGTGAGGACACAGTGAAAAGGCAGCCACTGCAAACCAGGAAGAGAGCTCTCACTGAAACTGAATCAGCAGCCCTTGGATCTTAGACTTTCCAGCCTCCAGATTTATGAGAAAATAAATTGCTGTTCTTTAAGACACCCAGTCTATAATATATTGTTACGGCAGCATGAGCTACCTAATACAGGAGGTCATTTCAAGAAATGCATATGTAAATACAAATAGGCAAAAGCTTAATAACTGAACAAATCCAGCCTCTGCTGTGTAACCAGAATACCTTTAATTTTAGAATATTATATTTTCTTATCACCACCTTACTTTCAGGCCAACGTAATCTCTCCATAATTCCCTCTGTCTTAAAAACAGTCTTCACTACTATATCCTTTCACCCTGACATTGACATATCCCTATTTATCTCTTCTAGACGCTGCAGAGGCATTACTTTCTCTAAGAAACATTCAAGAGCTTCTTGTATGTGTCCCCACAGCACTGTTTATTTTCCTCATCATAGCACATTTGAAATTATTATATAGGCAGGGTCTATGTATAACTTCATTATTACTGTATCTCTAGCGCCTTAACAGTGTGCCAGGCACAGAGTTAACGTTCAACAAATATTTATACAATGAATTAATAAACATAGACTCCATCTGTAATATGTTTGTATTTAGGCTCATTCAAAATTATTTAATTTAATCTCCATAGCAATGCATTAATTTTTAAAATGCTAGTATATTCAGTTTCTAAAAATGTTTCATATATCTTTATTACAGATCTATTAAATCCTATTTACAGGACAGGAATGGTAGCTCACACCTGTAATCCCAGCACTTTGGGAGGCCAAGGCGGGAGGATCACTAGAAACCAGGAGTCCAAGACCAGCCTTGGCAACAAAACAAGACCCCCATCTCCCCAAAAAATTAATTAATTAAAATTAATTCCACTAATCCACAAGACAGTCCCAAATATAGTTTTATAAAGATAAATTCATTATAAAAGTACTTTACTTCGTTACAAAATAATACACATAATTAAAATAATGTGTTATTTAGGTTTCAATGGAAATGATTATAGACTTTCTGTTTTTTAATAACTATGACAACTGTCTTGTTTGCACATAGCACCTGATAAGGTGTGGCAATAAAATAATAAGGCTAATTCTTAAACATACAAAATATAATATAATTTAAATAAATTGGTTTTGACTGCTTCAACAATATAAATATTTATATCAAAGATACTGCCATTGCCTGAAAAATTGTTGGAATTGTTAACTGGGAAATATCTTCAGAACCAGTTTATAAACCCCAGAAGAAAATTAGTCTAATTACTCTATAATTATCTCTTTTTTACAACCAAACATATAATTCTCCAACTTGACAATTCATCTTATTTGCCTCAAGATGACTTTTGTCAGTGCAGTAGTTAAGAGCAAGAACTATGGAGCCAGATGTTTGCATTTGAATTCTGGCTGTTTCACCTACCAGTTGTGTGACTTTGGGCAAATTATTTATGCTTTTTGTGCTTCAGTTTCCTTTCAACATAATGAGAAAAATAATAGTACCTAATTCATAGGGTTGTTGTGTTAGTACGGTTAAAACACAATAGTGCCTGCTATATACTAAGTGCTGTTTAAGCTCTTGCTAATATCGGTGGTAACAGTATTTTAAAGAATCTCAAAATTATTTTGCACACTTGTAAGGTCACTAGATTAAGTATACACTTCCAAATATGACTACTTTGAAGCTAATATAAATTTGGGCTCATCAGTTTTGGTATACGTTGAATAAATATACCAATCGTATAGTTTACTTATTCATATCTAACATGAATTCAGAGAATGCCATGTCTCAAGTATATCCCCTAAAATAAAAATGGTAATGTTTTACATATTAAATGTTTACTATATTAAAGGGGAAAAACATTATTTTGTAACTATTTGCATTTCCCCCTTTTTAAACTGGAACTTGTTTTAGGGGCATTCTAAAACTCAAAGTTATGGTCAATTTAAATTCCTTGTGCCATATCTAAGGAAAACAATTCTTCATTATTCGAACTTGATAATTTCCCTTCAATGCTAGAAACAGAATTGTTCAAATGTTTGATAACTTACTGGATTTGTTTTATTCCAGGCAAGGCTGCTCACATTGAGGCCTTTGGTTAAGTCACAGGAAAAAGACCAAAGTCGTTCCAAGTTGGCGGGTATTGTTGATTCTTCTGCATGTATTTCTTCTTCCTCCTCCTTCTTAGATTCTTCCTCTACCTCTTCATGTTTTGCACTTTCTAAAACATCTTCAGGCTCTTCAGGTTCAGGTTCTAAAGTTTAAACAAATAAAAAGATCATTGTCCTCTACATCTATAGGGACCTGCCAAAGGCTCCAAACAGCATATCTACCCACCACTGACACTTCAAGCACCATCAGATCTGCTGGATCATATGGTGCAAGTGGCAGGGCACCATGAAGGGCAGCCTGGACCTGTGGCAGAGTCTTCTGCTGTTCTGGGTTCCAACTCAAAGCCAGCAGCTTTTCTGTTTACTCAGTAAATGGGCCAGTGTAGCACATCCAAATGACAAATGTGTGGTCTCTAAAATGTAAAGAGACTCACTAGGCATTGTGCTTCTTTTCTGTTGTAAAAGGTGCCAGGTACAACTTATCCTTCACCTTAGAAGATACAGCTCAACATATCCCACACCACACACACAGGACACCCAGAAACTTCACTGAGGTAGAAGCCCCTGAAATTTTGTCAGATTTACTTCCCACACTCTGACAGGAAAATGTCTTACTGAAGCCTACTTCCTGTTTACTAAGTTCAACCAGCATATCATCCATTTAATGTGCTAGTGTGTTATCTTGTTGAAGGGAAAGAGCTCTGCAGACTAAATTATGATACAGGGCTAAAGAATTGATATACCCCTGAAGTAAGACAGTGAAGGTATATTGCTGGCCTGACCAGCTAAAAGTAAATGGCTTCTGGTTGTTTTTTACCAATAGACATTGCTGGAAAAAAAAGCATTTGCCTTGTCAATAGCTATGCACCAGGTACAAGAGAGATGTCTTAATTTCCTTAATGAATGTCTTACGGAACAACAGTTGCAATTGGAGTCACCAACTGGTTAAGTTTATAATAATAATCCACTGTCATTCTCCAAGATCCATCTGTTTTTAAATTTATTTATTTTTATTTTTTAGAGATGGGGGCGGGGGTCTTACTCTATTTCCCAGGCTGGTCTTGAACTCCTGGCCTAAGCAATCCTCATGTCTCAGCCTCCCAAAGTGCTGTGATTACAGACATGAGCCACTGCACTTGGCCAAGATCCATCTCTTTTCTACATATGCCACATATGTGAGTTGAATGAGAAATGTGGTGGGTATCAACATCCCTCCATATTTCAAGTCCTTGACAGTGGCAGTAATCTCTGAAGTCCCTCCAAGAATGTGCTACGGCTTCTGGTTTACTATCATTATCATTCAAAGTCCATAGTTTTACATTTTAAATTTTAGGGTTCACGCACAGTATTGTATATTCTATAAGCTTTGACAAACGTGTATAATGACATGTATCTGCCATTGTAGTACCATATGGAATAGTTTCACTGACCTAAAAATCTTCTGTGTTCTTCCTGTTCATCCCTCTCTGGTCCCTCGTCCCTGGAAACTACTGACTATTTTACTGTCTCCATATTTTGCCTTTTCCCAAAACGTTATATAGTCGGAATCACACAGTATGTGGCCTTTCAAATTGGCTTCATTTGCAGAGTAATAGGCATTCAAATTTCCTCCAGGTCTGCTTCTGGCTTGATAACTTAGTGATGAATAATATTCCATTGTCTGGATGTATCATAGTTCATTTATCCATTCACCTACTGAAGGGCATCTTGGTTGCTTCCAAGTTGGGGCAATTATGAGTAAAACTGCTATAAATACCCATGTGCAGGTTTGGTGTGGACACAGTTTTCAGCTCATTTAGTTAATCAACAGGAGTGATTACTAAATCATACGGTAAGAGTATGTTTGGGTTTTTTTGTTTGTTTGTTTTGTTTTGTTTTTGAAGACAGAGTCTCACTCTGTTGTCCTGGTTGGAGTGCAGCGGCACCATCTCGACTCACTGCAACCTCTGCCTCCTGGGTTCAAGCAATTCTCATGCTTCAGCCTAATAAGTAGCTGGGACTACAGGCGCCTGCCACCATACTCGGCTAAATTTTTTGTATTTTTAGTAAGTAGAGCCAGGGTTTCACTATGTTGGCCAGGCTTGTCTTGAACTCCTTTCCTCAAGTGGCCTGCCCACCTCAGCCTCCCAAAGTGCTGGGATTACAGGTGTGAGCTACCACACCCAGACAAGAGTATGTTTAGCTTTATAAGAAACTGCCAAACAATCTTCCAAAGTGGATATACCATTGTGCATTCCCATCAGCATGAATAAGACTTCTTGTTGCTCCACATCTCCACCAGCTTTGAGTGCTGTCAGTGTTTTGGATTTGCCCATTCTAATTAAGTGTGTAGTGCTACCTCATTGTTGTTTTAATTTGCAATTCCCTAATGAAATCTGATATTGAAAGGTCAGGTGTAGTGGCTCACACCTGTAATCCCAGCACTTTGGGAGGCCAAGGTGGGAGGGTAGCTTGAGTTCAGGAGTTTAAGACCAGCCTGGGCAACAAAGCGAGACCTCATCTCTACAGAACATTTTAAAAAATTAGCTGGGTGTGGTGGTGCACGCCTGTGGTCTTAGCTACCCGGGAGGCTGAGGCAGGAGGATCGCTTGAGCCAGGGAAGCTGAGGCTACAATGAGCCGTGATTGTGCCACTGTACTCCAGCCTGGGTGACAAAGCAAGACTCTGTCTCAAAAAAAAAAAAAGGTGGGGGGTGGGGGGGAGGAGGAGGAGGAGGAGGAGGATGAAGAAGAACAAGAAGAAGAGAATATAATAATATGATGTTGAGTATCTTTTTGTATGCTACTTTGGCATGTGTATATTTTCTTCAGTGAGGTATCTCTTCAGGTCTTTTGCCCATTTTAATCATGTTGTTTATTTTCTTATTGTTGGGTTTTAAGAGTTCTTTGTATATTTTGGATAATAGTAATGTATCAGAAATGTCTTTTGAAAATATTATCTTCAGTATGTGACTTGTCTTCTTATTCTCTTGACAGTGTCTTTTGCAGAGCAGAAGTTTTTAATCTTAATGAGGCCCAGCTTATCAATTATGTCTCTCAATGGATCATGCATTTGGTGTTGTATTTTAAAAGTCATTGTAAGATCCAAGGTCATCTAGTGTTTCTCCTATGTTATCTTCTAGGAGTTTTATAGTTTTGCATTTTACATTCAGGTCTATGATCCATTTGAGTTAATTTTTGTGACAGGTGTAAAGTCTGTGTCTAGGTTCGTATTTAGTACCATTTGTTGAAAGACTATCTTTTTTCTATTGCCTTTCTTCTTTTGTCAAAGATCAGCTGACTATATTTTGGCAGATCTATTACTAGGCTCTCTATTCTGTTCTATTCTATATATTTGTTTATTCTCTTGCCAATAGCATGCTGTCTTGACCACGATAGCTTTATACTAAGTCTTGAAATATTAAATACCTATATTAGACAAGAAAAAAATGTGAAATCAATGATCCAATTTTCCATTTTAAGAAACTAGAAAAGGAGCCAGGAACAGTGGCTCATGTCTATAATCCCAGAGTGGGAACAACTCTTATTTAAAATGGTGCTGAAACAACTGGAGATTCAAAAAAAAAAAAAAAAAAAAAAACTTTAAACCTTACCTTAGTCCATTCATAAAAAAAATTAATTCAAAATAAATAACATGATAGATATGTTAACGTGCTTCACTATAATGATCTTTTTACTATATATATTTATCTTAAAACATCATGTTGTATACCTTAAATATACACAATAAATATATTAAAAATAAAAATAGGCCTGGGCGCAGTGGCTCACACCTGTAATCCCAGCACTTTGGGAGGCTGAGGCGGGTGGATCATTTGAGGTCAGGAGTTCAAGACTAGCCTGGCCAACAATGGCAAAACCCCGTCTCTACTAACAATACAAAAATTAGCCAGGTAGTAGTGGCGTGCACCTATAATCCCAGCTACTAGGGAGGCTGAGGTGGGAGAATCCCTTGAGCCCGGGAGGCGGAGGTTGTGGTGAGCTGAGATAGAGCCATTGCACTCCAGTCTGGGACAGAGAGTAAGACTCTGTCTCAAAAAATGAATAAATAAATAAATAAATAATCCAATATAGATAGTAGACCTAAACATAAAGGCTAAAACTATACAGCTTCTATAAGAAAACTGAGAAGTACAAATTTGCAAACTTGGGGCAGGCAAAGATTTGTTAGAGAGCTCATGGAAAGAATTAATTACAAAAGAAAAAAATTGGCAGATTAGATTTCGCAAAAATAAAAAACTTCTGTTCATCAAAAAAATTTTAAGAAAATAAATTGGCAAGCCATAGATTTAAATATTTGCAAAATATGTAACTGACAAAGGGTTTGTATCCAGAATATATAAAAATAAGCTCTTACAACTTGATTTTTTAAAAGACAATTCAGGCTGGGCACGGTGGCTCATGCCCTGTAATCCCAGCACTCTGGGAGGCTGAGGAGGGCGGATCACCTGAGGTCAAGAGTTCGAGACCAGCCTGACCAACACGGTGAAACCCGGTCTCTACTAAACTACAAAAATTAGCCGGGTGTGGTGGTGGGCGCCTGTAATCCCAGCTACTTGGGAGGCTGAGGCAGGAATCACTGGAACCCAGGAGGTGGAGGTTGCAGTGAGCCAAGATCGTGCCTTTGCACTCCAGCCTGGGTGACAGAGCGAAACTCCATCTCAAAAAAAAAAAAAAAAAAAGAAAAATTAAAAAAAAAAAAAAAAAGGCAACTCAATTTTAAAATTGGTAAGAGACTTGACCAAACAGTAAACAGAAGATATTCAAGTGACCAAAATAAACCACATAAACAAGAACTCAGTTTTTAGAACAACACTAAAAGGATTGCCAGCATCAGGTGTTATAAAGAATGTGGAGCAACTGAGACTCTTATACATTGTTGTGGGAGTATAAGATGGTATAACCACTTTGGAAAAGTATTTCACTGTTTCTTAAAAAGTTAAACATATTCCCAATAATCCAATAATCCCATTTGTAGGTATTTTCACAAGAAAAATTAAAATATCCATTTACCAAAAGTCTCACACAAAAATGTTTGTACCAGCTTTACTCTTAATATCCCCAGACTGAAAATATGCAAGTGTCCCTCAGTGTGTGAATGGACAAACAAATCATTATGGTATATTCATCTACTAGAGCATTACTAGGAAAAAAATGAACTACTTATACATGCATCAACCTAGGAAATCTCAAAAACATTAATATTGAATGCAAGAAGCCAGACTCAAAAGAATACTTACTTTATGAACCCACTTATATGACATACCAGAATAGGGAAAGTTAATCTATATTGACAGAAATCAGAGCAATGCGTGTGTGTGTGTGTGTGGTGGGGGTTGGGGGGTGGGGTTAAGGTTTACTTGGAAAACAGCACAAGGTAACTCTTAGGGTTAATAGATATGTCCTCTGTCTTGATTAGGGTATTGGTAACTCTGGTTTATACATTTTCAAAATGTATTTTTATATACAATTTAAAATATATATTTCATTGTATATAAATCTTACCTCAATAAAACATTTGCTATGGTATTTTTATTTCTTAGATGTGTTGAAAGAAGTGATGTGCCAACAGTAACATTTACATTGTTACATTTACATTTTGTTTTGTAAATGTCAATATATACAGTACTATGTGAATTGCAACCTTACAACTCTTTAAATATAGGATGAAAAATCTATATATATAAGTGATAAAAATCTTTAAATATCAACCTAATATGAGAGAAGGAACACAGTTTTTCAATATTCTTCTAGATGCATGCAGGCAAAAAGATTTACAACCATTTGTCACACATACTATTCTGTAAACTTTTTCTTTTTAAATGTAACCATATAGATTAATTTTGACTTGAAGAATCAAGATAAATTTCATAAAGGAAGTTTCCTTAATCCATCTTTGAAAGCTGGAAATACAATAGGCAAACATGGGGTGGGGATAAGGGTAGACTGTCAAGCAAATTCCAACTAAAAGTACTAAGGCAGGAAAATGTAGGTTCTATTTGAGGATTACCAGATAAGTCTAAATATAGCTAACTTTTAGAGTCTCCAAAGCAATATGATAATACAAAGTAATCTGTGGCCATATTGCAGATATCTTTTGAATGATACACTTTGAGCTTTGTAATTTATTCTAGGCAATGTGAAGGCATTGAAGGTTTTTTGAGTGGTTTAGGATACATCAGCAAAGTGGGCTGATAAAGTAGAAAGAGAACTGGAACTTGAGATCAAAAGACCTTGGTTGAATGCCTAGCTTTTCCACTTACTATTAACCTCACAAAGTTTCTATAGCCTTCAGTTTCTTCATTCATGTATTTTTTAATACATGATTAAAGGTTGATTAAGATAATCTCTAAAATCCTTTAAAATATTCTGTGATCATATGAGATGCGATTTGTAGCAATGAGAACAGGAAGAATGCTTCTGCAATAGATTTGGGAGTAGTAATAAAAGTAAGAACTTAGAAAGTAACAATGACAATGGAAAAGAAGAGGTTGAATATGAGAGATACTATAAAAATGACTAAGTAATTGAATGCAGGAATAAGGGAGAAGAAAGAGCTATAGATGCTTAGGAAGTTTTGAATCTAAGACAATCTGCTTCTGTGGGCATCCTAGTCTGGACTCTAGTGCTACTCACGCATTTAGTGCTGAAAGCTTTAGAAACATGTCCTCTGATAATGATAACTCAATCTGGAGATTACATTTAGAAATATATACTAAAACCCTTACATTTTAAAAATTATTTGAGTTTGTCTAAACATGATATCTTCTTTTTCTTTTTTTAAGAGACAAGGTCTTGCTCTGTCACCCAGGCTGGAGTGCAGTGGCATGATCATAGCTTGCTACAACCTTGAACTCCTGGGCCCAAGCAATCCTCTTCCTCAGCCTCCCAAAGTACTGGGATTATAAGCATAAGCAACTGCACCCAGCCTAAACATGTTTATTTTTTTTAAATACCTTTTAAAACAGGAAGCTGACGATAAGCTGCAAGTTTGGGCTGAAATATATTTTCCATCAGAACCCGTTCCATAAAAAATAAGTCCTGATGAAATTTGTCAGATTTTAATATTGCATCTGAGTGGTCTTCCTCATCTTCATGGATTTTTGCCAGAATTACATTTTCTATGTCCATTAGAGAACTAGTTTCACTATCTACAAAATACAAACATGATACAATGATAAAATATTCAAATGGATGGTTCATACATTCTAAAGATTTTAAAAATGACATTTCATCATTTGTATTTATTTTCCTCCAGTTTCCAACAACTTTAATAGACATTTATTGAATATCTTACGTACCAAGCACATGAAAGATGCACATATCTCATTTTGGAATTCTTAACCATCAAAAACTGTACTATTTTTCAGAAGATAGGCAATGATAACCTCCAGAGGTAATTTTTGTCTTTATTCTTTTAAAATTCAAGTTGAAATAAGATGATCAGCCTTCAGAAAAAGGTCTGATTTGATTATTGCTATACAGAAATACTATACTATTGTATTAAGTTTTCTCTTGCTGCTGTAACAAATCACAGTGGCTTAAAACAATGCAAATTTATCTTACAGTTCAGTAGATTAGAGGCCTAACAGATGTCACTGAGCTAAAACCAAGAAGTTGATAGGGCTTTGTTCCTTTCTGAAGGTTTTAAAGGAGAATTTGTTTCCTTGATTTTTTCAGTTTCTGGGGGCCACCACAACCTTTCCTTCATCTTCAAAGACAGCAACATTGATTGCATTCCCGCTGACCTTCTTCTGTCATCACGTCTCTCTCCCAGACCACAGCTGGAAAAGATCTTTTACTTTTTAGTACCCCATGTGATTAGACTGGGCCCAATAAGATTATCCAGGATAATCTCTCCATCTGAAAATCCCCATTGTAATCACATCTGGAAAATCTCTTTTGCCATGTTAGGTAACACATTCACAGGTTCCAGGGATTGGGGTGTGCACAAATTTCTGGGACTATTGTTCTGCCTACTGCACTACTTAGTAAACTCTTATTTTAAAAACAGAATGAAGGAAACTCTTGCTTCTTTATCTTTATAGATAGAGGGAGCACACTTTTCCCTATTCTTCCTGCTAAATTCAACTAAAAACACTGGAAATTTTAGAAAACAACAAACATAAGCAGTCTTTGAAAGGTGAAGAGAAGGAATGGGTATATATATATATTCCAGATATGGAGCTGAAGAAGTCAGCAACCTGGGAACACTGATGGGCACAGGCAAGAAAAAAATCCCCAAAAGAAGCCTCCTCTCTTTAGCCAAATGACCAGGAAAAGCATAGCCTTGAAAGAAAGAAAGCTTTTAGATGGCAGCCATTCTACTCCAGCCAAGCACAGAAAAAATTGTAGCCCCACCCATGTGACGAAGGCCTAGAGGGAGCCTAGTCTTACACCCTCACTAGGCTGTAACAAGGTGTCCCAAATCCCTGACCTTTCACTGTGTATGGTGTCAGAGAAGGCCCAGCAGGCAGGCAGGACTTTCATCCCTACCAAACATAATGATAGTGGTCCCCTTCCTACAGTGTCAGTGGAGACCAGCTGGGGATCCTGGAATTCCAACCTATCCAGTAGTAACAAAGTATACCTCCCTCTTCCCACTGGAGTAGTCAGAGTTGGACTGGTGAAGAGTCAAAACTTTTATCACTCCCCAGCAGTAATGAGAACAACCTCCACTCTGTTGTGTCAGTGTAGGCCACATGTGTAGCACTAATGAAGCATTCTTATATCTCCTAGCCATGGTGTTGTCAATGGAAACCAGAGCTCCTATCACTGCCCCATGGTAATGAAGACACAACTTCCCCTGATGTCATTGGAGGTCAAGTGGCAAATATAGACTTCTACTCCCGCCTGGAAATAATCAGGCAGTGACTCCCACTTTCCCCTGCCAGAACAGTGTCAAACAAAGCCTGCTAAAATGGAAGTTTAGAAAAGATCCAGACTCTTACAATACCCCAAATGTCCAGGTTTCAATTGAAAGTCACTCATAATACCAAGAACCACGAAAATGTTAACTTGAATGGAAAAAAGCCCCTATACACCAACATCAATGTTAGAATTATCTGACAAAGAGTTTAAAGCAAACATCATAAAAATCATTCAACAAGTATTTATGAACACACTTGAAACAAATGAAAAAATAGAAAGTATCATCAAAGGAATAGAAAGTCTTAGCTAATGAATAGAAAGTCTTAGCAAATGAAAAGAAAAACCAAATGGAAATTTTAGGAGTGAAAAACATAACTAAAATTTAAAACTCAATGGATGGGCTCAACAGCAGAATGGAAGAAAAATAAATCAGTAAACTGGAAGAGAGAACAATGGAAATAACCCAATCTTTAAAACAGACAGAAAAGTCTGAAAAAAATGAAGACTCTCAAAAACCTCTGCAACCATAACAACATATGTACCATTCATATCATTATCATCCGAGGATTGGAGGAACGGGGTGAGCCTGAAAAAGTACTTAAAGAAATAATAGCTGAAAACTTCCAAAATTTGGCAAAGGACAATAGCAAACATATTCAAGAAATGAATAAATCACAATGATGATAAACTCAAAGAAATGCACACCAAGACACACCATACTAAAATTTCTAAAAACAGAAGACCAAAAAAAAAAAAAAAAAATCTAGAAAGCAGCAAGAGAGAAATGACACCTTATCTTTAGGGGGAAAATACTTTGAATAGCAGCAGATTTCTCATTAGAAACCCTAGAGGCCAGAAAAAAGTGGCACACATTCTCTGGGTTCTGAGTGGAAAGAATGGTCAATGCAGAATTCTATACCCAGTGAATTTTCCTATGGGAATAATTCTATACCCAGTGAATTATCCTATAGGAATAAAGAGGAAATTAAGATGTAGTATTCTCAGATGAAGGAATACTAAGAATTTGTCTCAAAAAAAAAAAGTCTTCCCTAAAGAATGGCTAAAGGCAGTTCTCTAAACAGGAAGAAAATGAGAAAGGAATTTTAGAACATCTGAAAGGAAAAAAGAACAATGGGAAGAGAGAAAATAAAGATAAATAGAATATACTTCTTATTCTTTTGAGTTTTCTTCATTACGATTGACAGTTAAAGCAAAAATTATTACATTGTCTGATATAGTTTTAAATGTCTAAATATTAAATGTTTATATATCTAAATATCTTTCTAAATACTTAGAAAAAATATTTAAGGCAAATATAAATGGGGGTGGAATCTAAAGGGAGGTAAGGTTTCTACGCTTTACTTGAACTGGTAAAATGTCAACATCTATGGACTATTGTGTATGCATAATGGAATATGTAAATTAAATAATAAAAAAGCTGCACATAAACTCAAAACACTACAGGTAAATTAAAGCAGAATGGTAAAAAAAATGTTTGGAAAAGCAGCAAGAAAGCAGGAAGAAGATAAGAGTGAAATATAAGATAGATAAGATAGAATAAGCAGAAAAGAACAGCAGACTTAAGGGCTAACATGCGAATAAAAAATTAAATACAAATGGTCTACATATACCAATTTAGAGATAAAGACTGACAAAAAAAATTGGATTAAAAAACATGACTCAAACATATGATGTCTACAATAAATTTATTTCAAATATACAATGTAGATAGGTTGAAAGTAAACAAATAAAAAAAGATATAGCAGGCAAACATTAACCAAAAGAAAGCAGGAGGGGCTATATCAATATCATATAAAGTTGACTTCAGAACAAAGAAAATTACCAGGGATATATAGCAACATTATGTCATGATTGTACCAAGAAGACATAGCAATAATTAATGTTTATGCAAAAAAACAAGGCTATAAAATATGTAAAGTAAAAATTATTAGAATTGAAAAGAGAAATAATGGTTATATAAAATTTTGATGGAATAAAGAGACAGAAAATCAGCAAGGGTATATATGAACTCAACAACATCATCAACTAAAAAGATGTAACTAATATTTATATAATATTCCACCTAATAACAGCAGAATACACATCCCAGGCCATACAACAAACCTTGACAAATTTAAAAGAAGAGAAATCATAGTGTGTTAAAAGAAGAGAAATCATAGTGTCTTCTCCAATTACAGTGGAATCAAGCTAGAAATCAATAATGGAAAGACAACAGGAAGATCTCCAAACACTTAGAATCTTAAAAAAACAAAATGCTGTAAATAATCTGTGTCAAAGAGGAAGTCTCAAGGGAAATAAAAAATGTATTTAATAATGAAAACAAAACACAACATATCAAAATTTGTGGGATACAGATAAAGCAGCACTGAGAGGAAAATTTACAGCATTAAATGTATACATTAGAAAAGAAGGAAAGTCAAGTCAATAATCTAAGTTCCCAAATTGAGAATATAGAAGAGAAAAAAGAGCAAAATAAACTTAAAGCAATGAGAAGGAAGAAAATAGAAGAGAAGTAAATGAAGTTAGAAACAAGTCAGTGATATAAAGAATTTCTTCCTTGACAAGATTAACAAAATTGACAATCTTCCAGCAGACTGACAAAGACAAAAAGAGAGAAAAAATAAATTATCAAAATCAGGAGTAAAATAGTAGTTACTACAGATCCTACAGACGTCAAAGTGATAATAACAAACAACTCTACATAACATAAATCTCACAACTTAGATAAAATAAACCAATTACTTAAAAACAACTATTAAAAATTATATTATGCTATTAATAATATAATTTGAATATTAAGAAAATTAAATGTGTAATTTAAAAAACTCACCCACAAAAAATCACCAAGCATGGATGGTTTCACTAAAGAATTCAACCAGAAACTTAAAGAAGAATTGTCACTAATTCTACATAACCTTTTCCAAAAATAGAAAAGGAAAGAATACTTGCTCATTCATTTTATGAAACTATTATAATAAAGTGAAACAAAGTGCAAAAAAGAAAGCTACAAATCAATATCTCTCATCAACATCAACATAAAAATCCTTAGCAAAATATTACAACACAGAATTCAGCAATATATAAAAAGAATTATTATACACAATGACCAATTGAAGTTTATTCTAGGATAAAAGAGTTCTTCAATATTAAAAAATCAATCAAAGTAATCCATACGTTTAGGCCAATGAAAAAAAATCACATGATCATATCAATCAATGCAGAAAAATCACTTGACAAATCAACCATTTATTAAAAAAAAAATCTCTCAGAAAAATAGAAACAAGCAGGGTGTTACGGACAGAATGATTGTGTCCCTATAAACTCATGTGTTGAAATTCTAACCCCCAATGTAATGGTGATTAGGAGGTAGGACCTTTGGCAGATAATTAACTCATGAGAGTGGAGCCCTCATGAATGAGATTAGTGTCCTGAAAAAGATACCTCCAGAGAGCTCTTTTGCTCTGTGTCTGCCATGTAAGGATACAAGAAGTTAGCAATCTGCAACATGGAAGAGGGCTGTTATGATTTTTATTGTTATAACTTCTTTCTAATTTGGTCTTGAGCTCTCTCAGTCAAGTAGCTAAAGCCAAGATAGCTACTCTCTAGAAGGGCCCTGACCAGGAGGAATGGTAAATTCAGGTGTGTTGGTTAGGTGAGACACCATGAGGAAGTGAAACCAAAATGCACAAAACAGCAAAAACGTATTACTCACAGGTCTCAGAGAAATTATTGGTTATTATTCTCCTAACAAGAAGCTGATGAGAAGCACAGAGGAGGCAAAGAATTCAATCACCAGGAAGGGCGTGAGAAAGAGAGAAGACATGCAGAACTATGCCTCATGGGCATTACCCCTTGGGCTTTCCCACAGGTTTATGGATTGACGAGCTTAAAGAAAACACGGCTGAGTCAGGGAACTTACATGATTCTAGTGTTGACCATTAGGTTTTATCATGGTCAGCAGCTGTAGGGTATATTGAGTTTTAGGCCTGTGAGATGAGGAACAAGTGGGCTCTATGGCACACAACCACATAGCAAAGGGAAGTTTTAACCAGGCTAAAGGTGATGGGGGTACAACACAGTTTCAAACAACTTATGTCAGACCTAACAGTGAATGCCAAGGCAGCAACTATGTTAAACAAATTTCCAACAAGTGTCCCACACCAGAACCCAACCATTCTGGCACTCTGATCTCGAACTTCTAGCCTCTAAACCATGAAAAATAAATTTCTGTTATTTATAAACCCCCAGGCCTAGGGTACTTTGTTGCAGCAGCCCAAACTGACTAAGACAAGGATGTCCCTCAACTTGATAAAAATCATCTACAAAAAAACTACTGGTAACATTATACCTCATGCAGAAAGACTGAATTGTTTCTTACAATCAAGAACAAAGGCAAGAATGTCTGCTGTCACCACTCTTACTCAATATAGTGATAGAAGTTCTAGCAGAGCAATAAAGCCAAAAAAAGGAAATAAAAGGCATGTAGATCAGATAGAAAAAAAATGATACTGTCCCTAAATGCAGTTGACATGATTGTGTATGTTGAAAATCCCAAGGAACACAAAAATACTCTTAGAACTGATGTGTGTATTCAGCAAGGTCACCACATACAAGAAAAACATAGAAGAATCTACTGTATTTCTAAATACTACCAATAAACAGGTGGACACCAAATTAAAAACACAATACTGTCTGGGAGCAGTTGCTCATGCCTGTAACCCCAGCACTTTGTAAGGCCAAGGCAGGAGGATTAGTTGACCTCAGGAGTTTGAGAACAGTCTGGGCAACATAGTGAGACCTCATGTCTACAAAAATTTTTAAATTAGCTGAGTCTGGTGGTAAACACCTGTAGTCCCAGCTACTTGGGAGGCTGAGGTGGGAGAATTGCTTGAGCCTGGGAGGTTGAGGTTGCAGTGAGCCATGATTGTGCTGCTGCATTCCAGCCTGAGTGACACACCAAGACCCTATCTCAAAACAAAACAAACAAAATACTATATACAATTGCTTAAAAAAAAACTTAGGTGTAAATCTATCAAAACATGTACAGGGCTTGAATGCTGAAAACTACAAAATGCTGATTTTAAAAGGTTGAAGAAGATCTTGGCCGGGTGCAGTGGCTCACACCTGTAATCCCAGCACTGGGAGGCGGAGGCAGGCAGATCACCTGAGATCAGGAGTTCGAGACCAGCCTGGCCAGCATGGTGAAACCCCGTCACTATTAAGAATACAAAAATTAGCCAGGCTTGGTGGTGTGCACCTGTAATCCCAGCTATTCGGGAGCTGAGGCAGGAGAATGGCTTGAACCCGGGAGGAGGCAGAGATTGCATTGAGCCAAGATCATGCCACTGTACTCCAGCCTGGGTGGCAGAGCAAGACTCTGTCTCAAAATAAATATGTAAATAAAAATAAAAATTAAAAAAGTTCAAAGATCTAAATAAATGAGATCTAAATAAATGGAGAGACATTCCATGTTCACAGATTGAAAGACTTAACACAGTAAAGATATCAATTCTTTTTGCACTTAATGCTTTGATATCCTAGGGCCTTGCTAACCCTGGAGGAACTGCCCCCACTAGCATTAGCCAATTCCTAAAGATAGTAAAGGATTCACCTGATAGCATACCTTCCATATGCAAACCAATCAACCAGAGACCATAACCCAACTGCCTCCTTAACAAAGCTTTCCCACTCAGTCACTAGTTTCCCTTGCCCTAATTACCCAGGGCCAGCTACCAGACAAGTAGGAATATCTGCTAAACCCCAGAACCCACTGAAATTACTCAGACTAGCCAATCCTAAACTTGCCTACCTTGCCTCACCATTCCTTTCCCTAGTAACCACAATAAAGGCTCTTGCCCATGTTTTCCCCATCACTCTCTCTGCCTTCTGACCAACTCTGATACTTACATATGTAGTTCATGGCATGAAATGCCTCCTTCTGAGATCTGTGAGTATAATAATAAGCTATCTTTGCAATGGCAATCATCTCCTGATCTGTTGGTTTTGCCATACCTCAATAAGAACAAAACCTACATTTTAAAACAATGTTGTCTGCTTTCAATATAAAGATACAAATACAATAAAATTAAAGAAATGGAGAAAGATATACTATCTACACACTAATCAAAGAAGCTGGAGTAGCTATATTTAATTACAGGTGAAGCAGGCTTCAGAGCAAAGAAAATTATCCGAGATAAAGAGGGGCATTACATATGAAAAATGGGTCAATTCTCCAAGAAGACATAATAATCTTAAATGCTTATGGTGCAAAAAACAAGACTACAAAATATGTAAAGCCCACTGATAGAGTTGAAAGCACAAGTCCATTATTACAGATGGAGACTTAACACTCCTCTATATCAGTAATTAACAGATCAACAGACAGAAAATCAGTAAAGATATAGGTTTGTTGCAGTTGTTGTTGTTGTTTTGAGACAGAGTTTCACTCTTGGTTGCCCAGGCTGGAGTGTGATGGCGCAATCTGGGCTCACTGCTGTCTCCACCTTCCAGGTTCAAGCGATTCTCCTGCCTCAGCCTCCCAAGTAGCTGGGACTAAGGGCACCCACCACCACACCCGGCTAATTTTTGTATTTTTTAGTAGAGATGGGGTTTTGCTATGTTGACCAGACTGGTCTTGAACTCCTGACCTCAGGTGATCCGCCTGTCTCGGCCTCCCAAAGTGCTGGGATTACAGGGTAAACCACCACACCTGGCAAAAGATACACTTGAATATCACCAGCAATCAACTGGATCTAAATAACACTTATAGGCGGGGCACAGTGGCTCAAGCCTGTAATCCCAGCACTTTGGGAGGCCGAGGTGGGCAGATCACGAGGTCAGGAGATCCAAACCATCCTGGCTAATATGGTGAAACCCCGTCTCTACTAAAAATACAAAAAAAAAAATAGCCAGGCATGGTGGCGGGCGCCTGTAGTCCCAGCTACTCGGGAGGCTGAGGCAGAAGAATGGCGTGAACCCAGGAGGCAGAGCTTGTAGTGAGCCGAGATCGTGCCACTGCACTCCAGCCTGGGCGACAGAGCGAGACTCCGTCTCAAAAAAATAAAATAAAAATAAAAAAAAATTCTTATAAAATAGTTAATCGATTATCAACAAATAAACATTTTTCTCAAGCTCACATGGCACATTCACCAAGATAGACTATATTCTGGGTCATAAAACACATTTGAAAAATTTAAAAGAATAGAAATCATATACAGTCTCAGAACACAAAGGAATTAAATTAGAATTAAATAAAAGAAAGATAGTTGGACAATCCCAAAATATTTGAGATTAAACAAAACATTTATAAATAACAAATAGGTCAAAGAAGAAGTCTCAAATGAAATTTTGAAATATTTTGAACTAAATGAAAAGGAAAATACAACTTATCAAAATTTGTGTGGCACAGCAAAAACAGTTCTTAGAGAAAAATTTTAACATTGAACACATATATTGGAAAAGAAGAAAGATCTAAAATCAGTAATATAAGCTTCCACCTTAGGACACTAGAGAAAGAAAATAAACATAAACCTAAAGCAAGCAGAAAAAAAGAAAAGTTTGAAATCAATGACATCAAAAACAAAACATCATTAGAGAAAATTAATAAAATCAAAAGTTAGTTCTTTGAAAATATCAGTGAAATTCATAATTTTTAGCCAGGCTAACCAAGAAAAAAAGAAAGAACATTTAAAATTGCCAGTATGAGAAATGGAAGAAGTGTCATCACTACTGATTCCATGGACCTAAGAGAATTCATGTCCTTTGTAGGGACATGGATGAAGCTGGAAACCATCATTCACAGCAAACTATCACAAGGAGAAAAAACCAAACACCACATGTTCTCACTCATAGGTGGGAACTGAACAATGAAAACACTTGGACACAGGAAGGGGAACATCATACACTGGGGCCTGTTGTGGGGTGGGGGGAGGGGGGAGGGATAGTATTAGGAGATATACCTAATGTAAATGATGAGTTAATGGGTGCAGCACACCAACTTGGCACATGTATACATATGTAACAAAACTGCACGTTGTGCACATGTGCCCTATAACTTAAAGTATAATAAAAAAGAAAAAAAAAGAAAAGAAATAATGTTAAAGACTCTGCCCACAAATTTTTTTTTTTTTTTTGAGATAGAGTTTCACTCTTTTTGCCCAGGCTGGAGTACAATGACACGATCTTGGCTCCCCACAACCTCTGCCTCCCAGGTTCAAGCGATTCTCCTGCCTCAGCCTCCCGAATAGCTGGGATTACAGGCATGAACCACAACGCCCGGCTGATTTTGAATTTTTAGTACAGACGGAGTTTCTCCGTCTGTTGGTCAGGCTGGTCTTGAACTCATGTTGGTCATGTTGGTCTTGATCATGTTGGTCAGGCTGGTCTTGAACTCCCGACCTCAGGTGATCTGCCCACCTCAGCTTCCCAAAGTGCTGGGATTACAGGCGTGAGCCACCGCACCCGGCCTTCTGCCCACAAAATGTATAACTTAGATTGAAATGGAACAATTCCTTAAAAGGCACAAACTACCAAAACTCACTCAAGGAAAAATGGATAATCTGAATTGGCCTATATCTATTAAAGAAGCTGAGTCAATAATTAATAACCTTCCAAAATAGAAAGCATCATGCTTTCACTGGTGAATTCTACCAAATACTAAAGGTAAAAATATCATTTTTATACAATCTATTTCAGAAAATAGGTGAAGAGAAAATACTTTCCAACTCATTTTATTAGGCTAGCATTACCCTAACTCCAAAACCAGATGAAGACATTATAAGAAAGGAAAATTACAGAACAATATCTCACATGAAAGTAATGCAAAAATTGGCCGGGCGCGGTGGCTCACGCCTGTAATCCCAGCACTTTGGGAGGCCGAGGCCGGCAGATCTTGAAGTCAGGAGACCGAGACCATCCCAGCTAACATAGTGAAACCCCGTCTCTACTAAAAAAAATACAAAAAAATTAGCCGGGCGTGGTGGCGGGCACCTGTAGTCCCAGCTACTCGGGACGCTGAGGCAGGAGAATGGCGTGAACCCAGGAGGCCGGGCTTGCAGTGAGCCGAGATCAGGCCACAGCATTCCAGCCTGGGCAACAGAGCAAGACTCCGTCTCAAAAAAAAAAAAAAAAAATGCAAAAATCCTCAACAAAATATTAGCAAATAGAATCCACCAATGTATAAAAAGAATTATACAACATAATCAAATGGCGTTTTTTCAAGGTATGCAAAGCTGGTTCAACATTCAGGATCCAATTAATGTAATCCATCACATCAACAAGCTAAAAAAGAAAAATACATCAATAGACACAGAAAAAGTACTTGACGAAATTCATTGCACATTCATGATAAAAACTCCCAGCAAATTAGGAAGAGAAGGGGAACTTCCTGAACTTGATAAGGTACAGCTATATAAAACCTACAATTAACATCATACATAATGGTGAGAAACTGAAAACTTTCCCCTAAGATCAGTAATAAGGTTAGGATATCCCTTCTCACACAGGAGAAAATGGTGATAAGTTTTTAGATATAGCATCAAAAACACAATGTAAAAAAGAAAAAAATTGATAAATTAGACTTTATTTAAATTAAAAATGTATCATCTATGAAAAACCCTGCTAATAAAAATGAAGAGAGAAGCCATAGACTAGGAGAAAGTACATACATATATCCGATAAAGAACTAAATTGTACATAGGACCCTTAAAACTCAATAAGAAAACAAACAGCCAAATTTTTAAAAGGGCAAAACATCCACATAGATATCTCACCAAAAAAGATATAAAGATGCTCAATATCACATTAGGGGGTTGTAAATTAAAACAATAATGAGCTACCACTACATACATATTTGAGTGGCTACAATCCAAAAAAACTAAAAATACCAAATGCTGGCAAGAATGAGAAACAGGAATGCTCACTCATTGCTAATGGATGCAAAATAGTACAACCACTTTGGAAGACAGTTGGTAGTTTCGTAAAAGGCTAGGGATACTCTTACTGTATGATCCAAAAATCGGGCTCCTAGATATTGACTCAGATGAGTTGAAAACTTATGTCCACACAAAAACCTGCACATGAATGTTTATAACCGTTTTATTCGAAATTACAAAAAATTTGAAGCAGCCAAGATGTCCTTCAATAAGTGAATATATAACCAAACTGTGGTACACTCATCCAATGGAATATTATTCAGTGACAAAAATAAATGAGCTGTTAAGCCATGAAAAAACATAGAGGAGGCTTAAGTGCATATCGTTTAGTAAAAGGAGCCAGTCTCAGAAGGTTACACATATTGTATGACTCCAACTATATGACAATGTGGAAAAGACGAAACTATAAAGACAATAAAAATAAAAATATCAGTGACTATCAAGGGTACAAGAGAAAGGAGAAATGATGAATAGGTGGTCCACAGGGGATATTTAGGACAGTGAAACTATTAATTTTTTGCTGTATAAAACTGTAATGGTAGAAACATGCCGTTATGCATTTGTTAAAATACAAAGAACTATATAACACAAAGAATGGAACTTAATGTAAGCTATGGATTTTAATTAATAATAATGTATCAACATTGGTTCACCAATTGTAACAAATATACCACATTAATGCAAAATATTAATAATAGGGGCCACTGTGCACAGAAAGTAGAGAGATGAAGGGATTTTATGGAGCTCTTGGTACTATATGCTCAATTTTTCTGTAAATCTAAAACTGTACTAGAAAATTCCATTAATCAATTTTCTAAACCTACAGCACTATTTCAGAATAAAAAATAATTTTTCTCTATCAACTGAGATATGGTCTTCATTCAAAGGCAAATATTATTGGACGTTTTCCCCCCTTGAGTATGATAAATAGAAGGTTAAATGCAACTTGTATAATACATTCAAAGTTTAAATGGAATAAAAATATTTTTTAAATCAAATATGGACCATATTTAACTTTTTTTTCCTTTCTGTTTCTACTATAAAAACCTCAGAGTCAAAAGGACCTTAGAGGTAACTAGTCCTAGTTTTGATCTGAATTTCCTTTACATTTTCAATAAATCTGATTATTCAGCTTTGTTACCTATTTTTTTCTATTTTTTAACTTTCTTTTCCTAGTTCTAGTTTCCCCTACTCCCTTGACTGGCTATAATAGTAAAATAAAGTATATCTTTATTTTCTATTGCAGTTATTGAATATGGTTTTATTGTCCCTTTTGGTTTTTAAAAGCACACCCATACACACATGAAATACTCTGAAAGATTCACAAATTGAGATTTATTTTTTGTGGGGGACTTTGCACTCGCACATTTTTGTAGGTCAATGGCCTTAATGGTGTGGAAAAGATCGATCTAATATAAAGTCCCAGTGTAATTTCCAGTCTAAGATTGGATTGTTCTGAGCAGTTTTTGATAGCTTCTACAAGCAAACCTATTGTATAGACATTCATGCTTAACAAAAACAATGTTTCTTTAGTGATAACGAATATTAAATAATTTATTCTTCCCCTTCATTGTTCTCTTAGAAAATTAACTATTCCTCATTATAAACAACCTTCAGTAAAACATAGCTCTAGTTTACATGACCATAAACATAGCTAAAGAACTATGGAATATAGGCCACTTATTGAAAGTTAAGATTCAAAGAGACTAGAAAATGAGATTTTAAAAAAGGAACAAGTCGAAAGGTCTTTGGGATCTATAGTCTCCTAAGGAAATGTAGTCAGTTATAAATAAGGGAATTGTTTTCCAGAAATTATTCTCTTTAAACTTGTTATTTCGAAATACTTATACTTACTGATTTACTGAACTTGAAAATATTCCATTTGTCTTTGGGTCAAAATTAGTGAAAGTAGGAACATTTCCATTTAATTTTAAAAATTTGCCAAAACTTAAAAAAATGTATCAGGTTTTAGTTATTCTAAAATGAGGACCATCACCTAAATGCAGTAATATAATTTTGTAAGAAAAAGATACAACATTTCAGAATAGGAAAAGTAAAAGTAGATAACCATAAACTATTCAGAAGTGGAATTGAACAAACTTCTCATAACTAGACTTAGTAAAGGTTCTTCCACATTGCAAAGTTTATTTGGAAAGCTACAACTTTGTATTGATTTTAATTATAACATTTCATCTTAAAAATTAAAATACTAGAAGCTAAAGTTGTAATGTAGGGTTTCTCAACCATGGCAGTACACGTACTGACATTTTGGGTTGAAAATTCTTTGTTGCAGGGACTGTCCTGTGTACTGAAAGATTTTTTGCAGTATCCCCGGTAGATGCCCTCATAGTCATGAAAAACAAGAATGTCTCCAGACATCCAAATGTCCCCAGGGGAAGTAAAATAGCCCCAAATTAAGAGCCACTGTTGTTAATGTATAAATCCATTTTAAGTTGTCATAGAGCTAGTATACATCCTTTTTCTCATAAGTAATCTAATTGAACAAAAGGGAGATAGAAAATGATGGAACTCACATGTAGGAAAGAGAGCTTAAGAGCAAGTAAAGGTGCACTAGAGAAAGAGACAAACTGAAAATTCTTGACAGATATCCAAGAAAAATGTAAATTTTTCAGTTAAGTCCAAGACCATGTGATAGAGTAATAGTGCTATTTCTGAGTAAAAGTTGTACTTTTCATGGTCCATTAGAAAGAAAACATTGTTAACTGCCAAAAAAGAATTTATTAAAAATGCCATGTTAAAGTCATTCAAAAAAACTAAAATAAATGAAATCTTACTTTTTTCTGTAGTGCTCCCTGGCAATCTTTGGTCCTGATCTTTAGGAAGTACATTTGCTTTACTACTTGACTCAACCACAGATTGTTTTACTGATAAAGATACAAGTTCCATAGCATTGTAAGAATCATACAAATCCCAGGCAGTGGACATTATGCCTAGATAAAGACACAGAAAGGTAAAAATTGTTTTAAACCAAATTCCAACATTTTAGCTTTATACATAACTAGTCACAGAAAAAGCTAAGATAAGAATATCTACTATTGCCTGATGCAGTTGCCCGTGCCAGCTACTTGGTCCACCTGAGGCAGGAGGATCACTTGAGGCCAGGAGTTAGAGGCAGTAGTGTGCTATGATGACACCTGAGAATAAATAGCCACTGCACTCTAGCCTAGACAACATGGTAAGACCCTCTCTTTAAAGAAATTAAAAATTAAAAAAGAATCTACTGTTTATTTTTAAAAACACTATTGTTTTACAATATAACTGGAAGTGGATAGAAATGACAAAGAAATACATCATGAGGATACCTCAAGAGATCCTTAGTCATCACACTATTAGTATCTACAAACACTTTAATGCTTTAAGGATAACTCCAAATTATCTTCACAATATTTTCTGACCATCACACCTCCCTTCCCACTACCCCACACCTCTACAGCATAATCTCATTGGTCTGTCATTGTAGGGCTGCCTTGGTGATATGCATCTGGGCAAATATGTTATAAAAAGACTTTTATGTTCCTTTACTTATGATTAATACATAATATATTGTCAACAGGTATTTGCAAGCATCTGATTCCATTTTTATCAAGTAAAATTTCCTATACACTTATTATGTGAAAAGATTGCCCCTGCTGGGAAAATTGATAGACTCTGATCTCAAGAAGCTTGTATAGTAGTACGGTTATTATCGTCTCTTTTAAAATTATAGTTTAGGTTAAATTTATTCAAATCATCAAAAATATAACAATGGTTTGCAAACAAATATTGGCAATGTTATTTATCTTTAAATAATAACTTAAAAACTCCAAGTCTCTTCCACTGCTGATTTATGTTTATGCAGCAATTATTTTATCAGCGATCATGTAACAATATATTTGTACATGCTAAATTTACCAATTTTTCAGTTAAAGGATGGTGATTTAATAAATAATTTTTTTCCTTAAAAATCAAAACAGAATGTGGATCTAATAAATGCAGCCTCTTAATTGCTACAACTATTATTTTCCTAATACAAAATGGAGGAGCTCTAGTAAAGCAATGTTTTCAATCGGTAATAATCGGGTTTTTTGTTTTTTTGTTTGTTTATTTGTTTGTTTTGTTTCATTTTTTTAAGAGTTTTGCTCTGTTGCCCAGGCTGGAGTGCAGTGGTGCAATCTCAGTTCACTGCAACCTATGTGTCCCGGGTTCAAGTGATTCTCCTGCCTCAGCCTCCCCAAGTAGCTGGGATTACAGGCACCCACACCACGCCTGGCTAATTTTTGTATTTTTAGTAGAGATGGGGTTCACCATGTTGGCCAGGCTGGTCTTGATCTCCTGACCTTAAGTGATCCACCTGCCTTAGCCTCCCAAAGTGCTGGGATTACAGGTGTGAGCCACCATGCCTGGCCTCAATGGTAAGAATGTTAACTCAAATTTCTTAATGATATTTATATCTTAATGAACTTATCATAAGGCCATCTAACAAAGTCATGCACAGAATACCTAGTATATTTTGCTCAGTTGAAAAAAGTACATTTTCCATGTTCATGAAGAGAACTTAGAAATTACATCTTTGAACACTGAATTACTCAACTTTCTTTTTCTTTTGTTTAACTGAAAGTTTAGTAAGTTTAGCATATAGGAACATACTGTTACATGGTCATTAATAACTGTTACATAAATAAATACGCCTATTATAAATAAGCAATACAATATGTTTGGATAATTAAAAGTTGACTCTTATTTGTAGATAACAAATTACTGCTCATTTTAGTTTGGGTACTATAGTTACATTTGTTCATTTGAACAAGTTTAATTAACCTAAGAAACAAACTTTCAAACCTGTCAAATTGTATACATTAATAAGTGCAGTTTTGTATATAATTCTAACTCAATAAAGCTGTTAAAAAAGTCTCAAAATTCATGCCCTAATGTTATGTAAAAGATGGGTAATAATGAATAATTGTGACTTCCCAATTTTATAATTATATGCTATTAAAGAAAGCTTATTTTAACTGGTATCAGAAAAGAAGCATTCCAAACTATGCCTTTTTTTTTAAGCATTTCTCAGTGTAATACATGTTTAAATAGTTGCTAAAAGGCAAAGAAACGCAGGTGTCAACAGATGGAGACTGGCTAGCAAGAGGTAATGCAGAGGTGATATGGGCAGTTCAGTTACAGCATCTGCTATAAAAGAAAAAACATTTAAAAGAGCAAGGTAGGCCAGGCGCGGTGGCTCACGCCTGTAATCCCAGCACTTTGGGAGGCTGAGGCGGGCAGATCACGAGGTCAAGAGATCGAGACCATCCTGGCCAACATGGTGAAACCCTGTCTCTACTAAAAATAGCTGTGCATGGTGGCGGACACCTATAGACCCAGCTACTCCGGAGGCTGAGGCAGGAGAATCGCTTGAACCCAGGAGGAGACAGTTGCAGTGAGCCGAGATCGTGCCACTGCACTCCAGCCTGGGCAACAAAGCGAGACTCTGTCTCAAAAAAGAGCAAGGTAATGATCAACCCAAAAGTTAGGAGAGTGGATACTTCTGTTAGAGGTGGCTAGAAGAAAGAGGGTTGTGATAGGACAGTGTACAGGGGGCTTCTAATCAACTGGGGATGTTCTATTTCTTATCCTGGCTGGTGAGTACATGGTATTGATTTTTTCTTTACACTACACATGTATGTGTTGTATGCTCTTCTGTTTGCGGTATATATTTCATAATAAAGTTTTTAAATAATGAAAGTTTACACTAAAGAATTTAGATGCAAATTAAGTAAATATTAAGATTTTATGGATGCCAGCCGTGATGGCTCACGCCTGTAATCCCAGCACTTTGGGAGAATGAGGCAGGCAGATCACTTGAGGTCAGGAGTTTGAGACCAGCCTGGCCAACATGGTGAAAACCCCATCTCTACTAAAAATGCAAAAATTAGCCCAGCATGGTGGCATGTGCCTGTAATCGCAGCTACTTGGGAGGCTGAGGCACGAGAATCACTTGAACCTGGGAGGCAGAGGTTGCAGTGAGCCAAGATTGCGCCATTGCCCTTCAACCTGGGTGTCAGAGCAAGACCCCATCTCAAAACAACAACAACAACAAAAAGATTTTATGGATCAATAAAAGTGTACCTTTTCCCTGCCTGATTTTGGATGAAACTGGAAGAGATACAAGAATCAGAGAAATGGAGGTCAAAATATTACCTTTATTACTGATAAGTCTAATTGAAAAATGTAGCCTTAAATCTGCAACTAAATGGACTTGCTAATTCTTCCTTCCAGAATATAGGGAAGAATTACTAACCAGTAACTGTCACAGCTAGACAAGCACAGACTTCCTCCACAGGGGTAAGAACAGCCCAGATTGCATGTTTTCTGCAAGTGGACAGACTTAACAAAAAGTGCCTCAGCCAGAAATGACCGAGCTTCATTCCTTCTCCTAAATTCTCTTATGGAATTAGTCACTTCTCTTTTCCTGGGAATGAGTAAATAATGTATAGAGAGAGGCCAGAAGTGTTAATTTAGCAGAAGTTATTTCTGTAAAGGTTCACAAAAAGGGAGGAGTAAGTTTTCCCTGACAGTATACATACAGTCACTTATGGAAAGGTGGCATTTCAAATAATTGAGCTTCAGCTTAACTATGGAGGCCTACTGAAAAGGAAAGCGGGAACTGGATTAAGAATGGTAAAGGCAGTGTGGTGGCTCATGTCTCATCCCAGCACTTTGGGAGGCTGAGGACAGTGGATCACTTGAGGTCAGGAGTTTGAGATCAGCCTGGCCAAAACGGTGAAATCCCATCTCTAGTAAAAATACAAAAATAAGCCAGGTGTGACGGCAGGCACTTGTAGTCCCAGCTACTTGGGAGGGTGAGGCAGGAGAATCACTCGAATCCAGGAGGCGATGGTTGCAGTGAGCTGAGATTGCACCATGGCACTCCAGCCTGGGCGACAGAATGAGACTCTGTCTCAAAAAAAAAAGAAAAAAAAAAGAATGGTAAATGCAAGCTAGATGCAGAAAAGAATTCAGACCGATAATGTACCTAAGTATTCTGTCCTCAGGTTAAAGAGATTGTATAATGTTAGCAAGCATCTAGGTTATGGTAGTGATCAATATGTCAATCTCAAGTTTTAATGTAAATAGGTTGCCTTCTATGTTTGGTGAACAGCTGAAATCCTAGGCTATCTAGTCATCATCCTTCTGGGAACTACTATCACCTCACTCCTATGTCAGATCTCCTGTTCAATGTATTTTATTGTCTTCTTCTTTTTTGTTTCACAGTTGGTTTTGGTTGAGCACATCCTTGACTTCTTGAAAAAATATACAGGAGGGGTAAATTATTTTGATACTTTGCATATATGAAAATGTCTTTATTCTACCATCATACTTGACATTTGGTTGGATGTAGTATCTAGACTGGAAATTATTTACCTTCTAAATTTTGAAGGCAGTTGTATTAGTCCATTTTCATGTGGCTATGAGGACATACCCAAGGGTAATTATAAATTAAAATTAAAAATTACCAAGGGTAATTTATAAAGAATTTTAATTGACTCACAGTTCCACATGGCAAGGGAGGCTTCACAGTCATGGTGGAAGGTATGTCTTGCATGGCAGCAGGTGAGAAAAGCGAGTGACGAGCGAAGGGGGAAGCCCCTTATAAAACCATCAGATCTCATGAGAACTCACTCACTATCAAGAATAACATGAAGGTAACCACCCCCGTGATTCAATTATCTCCACCTCTTCCCTCTCACAACATGTAGGAATTATGGGGATTAAAATTCAAGATGAGATTTGGGTGGGAACACAGCCAAGCATATCAGCAGTGTTCCATTACATTCTTGTTTCCAACCAGTCTGATGTCTTGTTCTCTACACTGACCTATTTATTTTTCTCTCTGGTAGTTTGTGGACATTTTCTGTCCCCCACATTTTAAAATTTCATTTATTGGTAATATGCTGGCACTTGTTGTTCCCCTTCAATCTTCCAACTTTTGACTTTCAAGTCTGAGAGGTTTTACTGAATTATCTCCTCCCCTCCATTTTCTATTTTAGGAACCATTATTGACTATTGAACTTTCTGGATTGGTCCTCTAATTTTATTGTTTCTCTTAGATTTTCCATCTCTTTGTTTTTCTTCTCTACTTCTTGGAATTTTTTTTTTGTTATCTTCCAAACATTTTATTAAGCTATCAAGATCTTTTTATTCTTTGGATTTTTTTTTAAAGAACATTCTGTTCTTGTTCCATGAATGCAACAGATTCTGACAGCGTTTGCTCAATTTTAGGAGCATTTCTGTGGAGGGACACGTCAGAACTACCTACTCTGCCATTTTTGTTGCATCATCCTGGAACTATTTTTTTTAGTTGATATTCCTGAGGTAGCTAAGTAGACACTAATGTCACCTACAAATAATGACTATTTGTTTTTGAATCCTTATAAATATTAGTATCTTATATCTGTTGCTGTGTTACTGCAATAGTTGGAACTGCCAAAACAAACTTGAAGAGTTACTGTGATAAGTGACACTATGTTCTGGTTCTTATATTTAATAGATCACAGCAATTATTATCTCTAGTGGTTCACCTGAAAGCAAAAATTTTGCTTTTTATTTTAAATATTTTATCAAGAAGATCCATACCATTCCTGTACAGATAATTTCATCAGGAATGAAGTCTGAATTGCATCAACTGCTCTTTTTGGCATTTACCGTTCTTGTTTTACATTAAACCTATAAATATGATTTTGTAATGATGAATCATAGCTTTCCTGATATTTAATAATCTTTATACTCCTAGAATAAGTTGTTGCTATAGGGATTCCTAATGCCTTGAGGGTTCAAATTTATACTACTATATTTTTAATTTTTCCACATATCTATGAGATTAGTCTATATTTTCTTTGTAATGTTTTGTTAACCTTGTTTTAAAAACTACAAAATATCCTCATATTTTATATGACTTGGAGCAATTTAAATAACATGGTGTGATGGTTAACTTTATATGTCAACCTGACTGGGCACAGGATGCCTAGCTAGCTGGTTAAACGTTGTATCTGGGTGTATCTGTGAGGGTGTATTCACAAGAGATTAACATTTGAATTGGTGGACTGAGTAAAGCAGATGGCTCTCTCCAATGTGGTGGGCATCATCCAATACACTGAGGGCTGAATAGAATTAGAAGGTGGAGGAAGGTTGAATTCACTCTCTGCCTGATTACTTCAGTAGGGGCATCAATCCCCTGCCCTCAGTGCTCCTGGTTCTCAGGTGTTCAGAGGTAGACTGGAATCGATACTGTTGGCTCTTCAACTCTCAGGGCTTCAAACTACCACATTAGCTTTCCTGTGTCCCCAGTTTGCACATGGCAGATTATGGTACTTCTCAGCCTCCATAATTACATAAGCCAATGCCCTGTAATAAATCGCTTTATAAATAAATACTAGATATAAACTATAAATTGGCCAGGCACAGTGGCTCATGCCCGTAATCCCAGCACTTTGGGAGGCCGAGGTGGGCAGATCATGGGGTCAGGAGATCGAGACCATCCTGGCCAACACAGTAAAATCCCGTCTCTACTAAAAATACAAAAATTAGCTGGGTGTGTTGGTGCGCCTGTAGTCCCAGATACTTGGGAGGCTGAGGCAGGAAAATCACTTGAACCAAGGAGGCGGAGGTTGCAGTGAGCCGAGATTATACCACTGCACTCCAGCCTGGCGACAGAGTGAGACTCTGTCTCAAAATAAATAAATAAATAAATAAATAAATAAATCCTAGATATGAATATATATATATATATACATATTCTATTGGTTCTGTTTTTCTGAAGAATCCTAATACACATGAATATTATAAAGTATTCTCACATTTACAGAATAAACCTCTAAAGTAATTTGACCTTGATCTAGGCCATTTTAAAATGGTATTTTTGATAAAATTTTCCCATTTCTTTGAGTTAATGTATAATTCTATTACTTCTTGGGGAGTGTTGATAATTTTGAGTTCCATAAAGAATCATTCTTTTTTTATTTTCAAATATTTTAGCATAAAGTTACATACAGTAATCCATTTAAAATATTTAAACCCTTTACTTTTGGAAAAAAATATGAATAGGTTTCCTAATATGAATTGGAAACCTAAAGTTACATACAGTAATCCATTTAAAAATATTTAAACCCTTTACTACATATTAATATTTGGAAAAAATATGAATAGGTTTCTTAATATGAATTGGTTAAGGACTAGAAAAAGTTACTAAATATCATCTAGGAATTCACTTTTCTGGGTCCATCCAAGTTTGCACCAATTAAGAAACTGACAAGGAATAAAACAGAGATCAAAATTACCTTTATTACTGATAATGTTTAGATTGGCTGATACAGTTTAGATGTGCAGCAACAATGAGCTTGATAACCACAGGCCTAACAATGTTGAGTCCTCCCCCTATAAAATTTATAGCATGGAGAAACCAATCAGAATTTGTATTCCTTTCTGCCAGCAGGCTACTAGAAGAGGGAAAGCAGGGGAATAACCGTACATCCCCATGTATGGTTATTTACCAATCAAGTAAGTCATACCTCCACTCCTAAGTAGGAATGAGTGAGAGAATAGAAAGAGATGGAGATAAAGATATCCACTCATGTTCTTCCACATAAAAGAAAACATTAGGAGTAAGGAATAAATGCTCTCACCAATAAGATGTATGTATGTTCTTTGATTAAAAGCAATGATTAATTTTTTTGCTAGGGGTTTGTTCTGTTAATCTTTTGTAAAAACTAGCTTATAGTTTTGCTGCATAATAAAGGCAATTAAGAATAAAACCGGCCATGGCCAGGCGCGGTGGCTCATGCCTGGAATCCCAGCACTCTGGGAGGTCGAGATGGGAGGATCACCTGAGGTCAGGAGTTTGAGACCAGCCTTCAACATGGTGAAACCCCATCTCTACTAAAAATACAAAAATTAGCTGGCCATGGTGGTGGGCACCTGTAATCCCAGCTACTCGGGAGGCTGAGGCAGGAGAATTGCTTGAACCCGGGAGGCGGAGGTTGCAGTGAGCCAAGATTGCGCCATCGCACTCCAGCCTGGGTGACAAGAGCGAAACTGTGCCTCAAAAAAAAAAAAAAAAGAATATAACCAGCTGGGCACAGTGGCTCATGCCTGTAATCCCAGCACTTTGGGAGGCTGAGGTGGGCGGATCGCCTGAGTTCAGGAGTTCAAGACCATCCTGGCCAACATGGTGAAAACCCATCTCTATAAAAATACAAAAATTCGCCGGGCATGATGGCAGGTGCCTGTAATCCCAGCTGCTTGGGAGGCTGAGGGGGAGAATTGCTTGAACCCAGGAGGCAGAGGTTGCAGTGAGCCAAGATTGTGCTATTGCATTCCAGCCTGGGTGACAAGGTGAGACTCTGACGCAAAAAAAAAAAAAAAAAAAAAAAAAAAAAGGAAAAATATAACTTTGCTTGTAATTACTTCTTTGGCTACACCCTACAGATTTTGGCTATGCAATGTGCTCAGGGTTGTTAATTTGTACACAGTGAGAGGTGGTAAGTATAGTAGTTAAGTGCACAAGCTCTAGAACCAGAACAGTTAGCAAACTTCTCTTTGCCTGTTTCCTCATCTATAAAATGGGGAAGCATAATAGTATCTACCTCATAGGGTTGCTGTAAAAATTAAACCAGTTAATACATGTGAAGGACATAGTGTCTGACACATTTAAAATGTTAATAGTTATGGCTGATATTCTTTGTGACATAGTAAATAATCAGTTTATATAAACGTTTAAAGAGTATAAAGTTCTATGATATAGTATGCATAAAAACCAAGATGAATAATTATGTTATTCAAATCTATATATTTATTACTTAACATGTCAAATTCTGAAAGCTATAGAACACAGTGTCCAACTACTGTTGTGGTTTGGCCAAATTATTTTTATTTTTGCTTTATACATTTCAATATTCACTTGTCGATTGACAGACTCAAAAAATGTATATTAGAACATTATAGTTTATCAAGCAGAATGATAGAAATTACCTTTATCTTCCATTATGATTTTATCACATTGAACATCTTTATTCTTTGGTGCTCCATTGAAAGTCTGCATCATCCTTTCAACATATAGGTCATTGCCTAATCTGTTTCTACAAAGGACTTCATAATTCTTGTTTCTCTGACTGTAAAAAATAAAGTGTATCCAACTCATTAATAAGAATCATCACCACACGTATTATCTCTTTATATTATTCTTTTCCCTAAAATTACTTTCCTTAATGTGGCTTGCACCAAAAAGTGAAGTGAGACTTCAAAAAAAGCCTTAGGAAAAGACTGCACTAAATGACCTCCAGAGGACTCTTTTATACTGTGTCTATTTCCCAACATCCCTACTACTATCGGTACCTTATCAATAACATGCTAGTACTAACTCCATGTAGGTTTTAGTTCTGAATATTTTTAAATTTTCCATTACTTCTTTGATGACCCATGAGGAATTTAGAAATGTGTTTTTGAACTTCCAAATGTGTATGTAAATGTGTCTGTTTTAGTTGAGATTTATGTTATTAACTTTATTGCACTGTGGCCAGAAATTTTCATTTGTATAATTCTATTCTGAAATTTTTGAGACCTTGCTTCATAGCCTTATGAATAATTTTTTATAAATGCTGCATGTGTGCTGAAAGAGAATGTGTTCTCTAATTGTTGAGTGCAGAAGTCTGTATCTGACCATTAAGTTTTTATTCAAATTTTCTATATCCATACTAATGTGTTCTCTGGTTGACCTACCAATAATTAAGAGAGGTGTGTTTAAATCTCCTACTTTAACAGGATATGTATCAAGTTTCCAATTTTTGCTTCACATATTTTCAGGTTATTTTATTTATTTATTATTTATTTATTTATTTATTTATTTATTGAGACGGAGTCTTGCTCTGTCACCCAGGCTGGAGTGCAGTGGCGTGACCTCAGCTCACTGCAACCTCCGCCTCTCAGGTTCAAGTGATTCTCCTGCCTCGGCCTCCCGAGAAGCTGGTACTACTGGCATAAGCCACCACGCCCAGCTAATTTTTGTATTTTTAGTAGACACGAGGTTTTACCATGTTGACCAGGCTGCTCATGAACTCCTGACCTCAGGTGATCCAAACCACCTCATCCTCCCAAAGCGCTGGGATTACAGGTGTGAGCCACCGTGCCTGGCCCATGTTATTTTATTAGGAATATTCAAGTTCAGGATTACTATACCTTCCTATCATTATGAAGTACACTTTATCCCTAATAATGCTGTCAGTTTAATTGTTCCTCTGTAGGTGACGTGTTTTTAAAAAATATTTTTTCTATTTTTATTTTTTAATGAAATTACTTTTATATTCCAATGCTCTTATTTATCTATTTATTTATTTATACATAATAATAATAAGAGATGTGGTCTCACTGTGTTGTCCAGGGTGATCTCCACTCACTGCAACCTTCCCCTCCTGGAGAAGCAATTCTCGTGCCTCAGCCTCCTGAGTAGCTGGGATTACAGGTGCCCACCACCATGCCCAGCTGATTTTTGTATTTTTAATAAAGACAAGGTTTCATCATGTTGGCCAGGCTGGTCTCAAACTCCTGACCTCAAGTGATCCACCCACCTCAGCCTCCCAAAGTGCTGGGATTAAAGGCTTGAGCTACCACACCCGGCCTGACAGTTTCTTAATGTTAATCATGTTTTAACTCTGTCTTTTATTTGTTTAAACATTTCACACATATTTTATATTCTATATCTGATAATATAATTATCTATAGTCTTCAGGATCTATACCAAATTCAACCTGAGGGAATTCTTCTCCTTCTCCTTCTCCCTTTCCTTCTCCCTCTCCTTCTCCCTCTCCCTCTCCTTCTCCCTCCTCTCCCTCCTCTTCTTCTTCCTTTTTTTTTTTTTTAGACATGGTCACATGGTCTCTCTCGGTTGACCAGGCTGGAATGCAATGGCATGAACACAGCTCACTGCAGCCACAACTTCCCGTGATCAATCAAGTGATTCTCCTACCTCAGCCTCCCGAGCAGCTGGGACTACAGGTATGTACCACCAAGCCCGGCTAATCAAAAAAGAAAAAAAAAATTGTGGAGATAGGGCTCTCGCCATGTTGCAGGCTGGTACAAACTCCTGGGCTCAAGCCATCCTCCTGCCTTGGCCTCCCAGAGTGCTGGGATTACAGGCATGAGCCACCACATCCAGGTGATCTGAAGGAATCTTAAGAGCCAAAATGGTGGTATGCTTTGCTCCAGAGATTTGTGTTTGCTTCTGACAGTAGGGAGTTGACTCTACTGGCCTAGGATCAGTTGAGATAATTGAGCTCCTTTTGAGAGTCTTGGCTTAACACAAGAATCTCTCTTTCAGCTCTTTCAGTGTAAGGGTTGGGAGAACCCAAGACTCATCACTGGTCTCCAGATCCATATGTTAATATTAACATTTCTTCCCAGCATTTCTCCCCTTCTGATTTCAAAGCAATTATCTGTCCCTTTCTTTTTTCCCTCTTTCCTTTTTTTTTTTTTTTTTTTTTTTGGTCCTAGGAACTTTCCCTTCCTTCTTATGAGCTTTTAAAGGTACGCTATTCATGATCTAACATGTACTATGTTTTATAGTCCAAACCATATTATAATATTTTAGATTTTGAGAAGGAATAATACCCTAAAATTATTTTAGTGATGGAGTTTTTAGTACTATAAATCCTATTCAAATAATACTTTAGGTAAAATAATCAGAATAACTATTAATAATCTACTTATAGTAGCTATATTAATTTTAGATGGAGGAGAGCGGAACAAGAAAAATTATTAGGGATAAAGAGGGATAGTACAAAATGATAAAGGGGTCAATTCTTCATGAAAACATAACAATCCTTAAATGTGTATCTGCCTAACAACAGACTGTCAAAATACTTGAGACCAAAACTAACTCTATTTATATTCATTAATAAAGAGAAATGGAAAACTTCTCTAATATAGTAAATTCATTTATTTACCCATATTTTGCCTTCCTAAGTTTTAAATATTAGGTTGGTGCAAAAGTAATTGCGGTTTGGCTATTACTATAAAAATGTCATTTCTTTCTTTTTAAATTGAAAATGATTTATATATGTATAAAAGTAAAAATAATTAAAACCTATATAGAGACTTGGAAGCTTATTCTGTTATTTGGCTTAGAAGTTCGCCTAATTATTTAAAAATATGGTAAAGCTATGGGCTCTTCCTCTAGAAAAATTTACACACAACATAAACATGAACATAAAAGTTCACATGGCACTTATATAACTTTGTATATAATTTTGTAGGGAATATACAGTCTCCCCCCAAACCCCATAGTGTATACCCCAGAACCCCCAAGGACCCTTCACAGAAACAAGGATAAGAACCCTTGGCTTAGCATTTGAATTACAGAAACAATGTAGACAACTGAACCATACATACGTTACTTTCTCAGCTTCTTCAGATTCTACAGAGACCATGACTGTGGGCAAGTCAAAAAATCTCAGTGTTTCTGTCTCTGTGAGTATTATCTCTATATTCTTCTCCAGGTCTTCTTTTGTTACAATTTTTTCAGGTGCTGCCCTTATAACTTGCAAATCTAAAATACATGACTTAATTAAAATCATTTACTAATTGCTATTTTTAATTTGCATTTTTCCTTCTAGTCACCAATATACCATAATGGGTAATATATTGCAGGTGGTTTATATAGTCAAGGAACAGGCCAGGTTGTGAGATGTAGTATATTCAACCTTTCTGAAGCCAAATTGGATCTTGTAGGCCATAAACAGCCTTCTTGCTGACATAACAAGCCTACCCCAGTCTAATACCAATAGTCATAACTCTAAGGGTATTCCATTATAACTATCCCACAATATTAATTGGGAACTGGGGTTAGCAACTGTTGGTACTACTCAAGAATATGGAGGCAAGTATATTTAGGGGGCATAATAAGCAACACTTCTTTGAGCCGTGAAGTTAACTTCTAATTCGTTGCTTTAGCAAACTTTTATCCTTCATTTGCCCTCCTTATTAGCTGTCTTTTAATTTAGATGTCATTCCACCTCTAATCATCTTCACCAGGGGTAAAGACTCTACTATATTAGTCCTGGTTGACTATAGAAATAAAATTGGAACCAATGTCTATGCAAATAATAGAGTGAAAATAATTGGCCATAAACCTTTAGGACAGTCAGAACTTGATCCAAGGTCCTTGGAAAATTCCATTGAGAATTGAGTTTCACAGCTGGGAGAGTTTGGAATTGGTTATGTGGGTAACAGCCATGAGAAAGTATATAAGTGAGAGTTCAATGTTTTCTATCAACAACAGGGTATACAGCAGACATTCATGAGCCTTTGGGATAGGTAAAGCTTGGACAGCTTTAGGAAAACTTAAAAACGTCTCAGTCTCCTCTTAAAAAGGTTCAGAGCTGAGAAAAACACCTTCCTTATAATCTAAAAAAAAACAAGTTATTAATTCCAAAAACCAATCATCAACATTTTTAATGACTAAATAAATTATGATATACCATCTATGACTAATAAATAGTAAGTAATGTAATAATACAAATTTTTGAAAATATGTTCTAAAATGTTAAATGACAGAGCAGCCCAGAACATGATCTGTACTATGGTAATAAGAATGTAAAATATTATGCAGATAAACAAGGTCAGGAAACAGAAAATTTTAAGTTGCAAATCTTCTTTAGTTTTGGGTGATTCTTCTTTTTTAAAAATATTCTTTAATTTTTTTCTATTTGTGTAATAAATTTTAAAAATAAGTAAAAGATTTTATTTATATAAGTAAATTTGACTAAGACAGACAAAATGAGTAAAGAAGTAAATGAGTTATCCACAAGAACAAAATTTGAGGTACATGTAGTCCAAACTTTTTGTCAATGAAGAAAATAAAAAACAGAGGTTAAGTGAAAAGTCCACACAGGAATACTAACAATTTTAAGGCTAGCGATTTAGGCTCTTGATTCTCTGAGGTTTCTTACTGTTAGACCACCAGATCTTCCTTTGCAATTTAGTTATATAAACTTCAAAGTAACATTGTGGCACAGACATGCTAATTATAAAAATAAATGATCTTATATTAGATAAATTACATATATAGAACCTAATATGGTAACATCTCAGTTATTACGGTTGGGAAAAGTAATAGTCTAGTCAACCTTCTTGATGGCAGAGGACTTACCATTCATAGACAAAGCCCTAGGATGGCAAATAGGATTTTTGCCTGGAGTTCTGTATCACCCATTTCCTAAATGTTGCTTGAATTTACTATATGTTCAGAAACTACCCCCAAACCACACTCTTTACCTATAGAATCTGCCTATTTCATGGGTCAGATCCCCTAACTTTAGACTGGCTGTACCACAGATTTTGAGTACACCTCTCTCTCCACCTAGAAAAGAATCACAATTCTATCAATCTGTTTTGCCTGCTCCTCTTGACTGCCAATGATGGAGGGAACATCTACACTCCTAAAGGTTCTTCCCAGAGGAGGGAGCTCCAGCCTAGTATGACAATCATGGCTCCTCTCCACACCTTTACTCATGAATCCCCTTGAGAGGGTTAGGAGAGTCCTGAAGTGGTCTAGAACCTTTCGTGAATGGGTGGGTAAGTCTGTCAAATGTGAGGGTTTAACAGGGGACTTTTATCCATAATGTGATATTTTGGCTCCAATTCATCATATTTACCCTTATCATATTTTTCAATTAATTCAGAACAGGGTGAGGAAAAGGGATGCAATTGTTTGGCTATTCTCAGAGACCCCAGTAGAGAACAACCTATGAAGCCTTCCTTGGCCTCTACTTTAGCTTCAATGGGCCCAATACAATTACAGCATAATTGAGTCACAAAAGCAGTTTATTCTTCCTCCCTTCTCCTCACTTGTCAAAAGTATCTATTAGTGACTTATTTATTAACTGAGAGCATCCAGAGACAACCTGTGCATGAGATGCTGTTTGGCCCCTACCTTGCAATTAAAACCACAAACTTTTCTAAGCACAAAACTCCTTCTAGTTATATGGTAAAGCAATGGTTCTCAAACTTTACCCTGCAACAGAATCACCCAAGGGCTTAGCAATAATTGCTTGGACTTACCTCTAGACTTTTTTTCAACATTTGGTAAACTTTGTATTTTAGAATAGTTTTAGGTATACAGAAGAGTTGTAAGAATAATTAGAGTTTCTGTATACCCTATATCCAGTTTTCCCTATTGTTAATATTACTTTGGTACATTTAGTACAACTACAATATTGCTATTTTATCATCATATAAAGTCCATATTTTATTCTAATTTCCTTAAATTTAACTAATGTCATTTTTCTCTTCCAGGATCTCATCCAAGACACCACATTACATTTAGTCATGATGTCTCCTTACGGCTCTCTACACTGTGACAGTTTCTCAGAATTTCCTTGTTTTTGATGACTTTGAGAGTTTTGAAAAGCAGCAGTCATGTATTTTGTAGAATGTCCTTCAATTTGTGATTTTCTGATGTTAAACAAGTGTTATGGGTTTCTGGGAGGAAGACTACAGAGGTAAAGTGTCATTCTCATCATATCATATCAAAGATACATGCTAACATCATAACTTATCATTGATGGTGTTAATCTTGGCCACCTGTCAATATCCTCTGCTTTAAAGTTATTTTCCCCCCTCTCTCTTTTACATATTGTACTGTTTAGAAGAAAGTCAACATGCAAAGCCCATACTTGTAGAATGGGAAGTTAAGATCCACCTTCTTGAGGGAAGAATATCTATATAATTATTTGGAATTCTCGTGTAAAAAGATTTTTCTATTCTCTCCTCTTCATTTATTCAATATTAGTTTGTGTTACTATGAACTCATGCGTATTTATTTTATAATTTGGGTTATAATCCAATTCTACAATATTTATTTTGTTGTTGAAATTGTTCTACCTTTTGCCATTGTGAGCTCTTTCTGTTGGCTGCTAGGTTCCTCTCAAATACCCCTTTTTGTTGTTTGTTTATTGTAGAGTTTTGTTCTATTTTGTTTTGTTTGAGCACTTCTTTACTTGCTGGCTCATCTTGTATCCATGCACCAACTCTAGAATCAGGCATTTCTTCAAAGAGCCCTAGTTGCTTTTATTAGAGAATGGAATTAGAAACCAAAATCTGAGCACTGAGAGTGCTTGCTGCTTCTGGGGTATCATTACTTCTAGGCTTTCTTAGTGGACAGAGCTAAGAAATATTTGTATGTATACTAACTTGTATATACAAACATATCTATACATCTATGTTCATCTATATCTCTATTAAGCTAAACATGAGTTTATATTAATGTTTTTGACACTTGTTCAATACCACATAAATAATTCTAGCTTCCCTTCTTGCTTTCTGTAATCTCCCACTCCAACAATGGTGAGTTCCTACCATCTGCCCTCCAATTACTTACATGTTCAATCCCAGTATGCATGTACAATGATTCAGAATTATTAACCAATACCCCCATGGGAAGTGACTATAAACTAGAGTGTTTATTTGCAGTTCCTTTTGTCTTTAATCTTATAGCCTCTACTCATTTTCAATATTATTTAGGTATATACCCTTTCCTCCCACTCCTTCTGGAGGGTTATATTATACATTTGTAAGGCAGTTTGATTCTTTTGTTACAGTCTGTATTCCATTGTAGGATCCTCGTATTTCTTAATTGTGATTTTAAAAAACCTCCCACATTTTAAGTCTCACTTTTTGTGTTGTAATATTCTTTGGGTTTTAGTAAAGGCATGGTGCTATGTATCCACCATTATAGTATCTATACAGAATAGTTTTACCATCCTAAAAATATTCATTATGCTTCACCTATTCAACTCTCCCTTCTCTTCAAGGCCCTGCTACCGACCATTGATTTGTTTTCTGTTTCTATAGTTTTGCCTTTCTCTAGACTGTCATATAAGTAGAATCAGACAGGATATAGTCTTTTCAGACTGGTTTATTTGACTTAGCAATAAGTATTTAAGATTCATCAATCTTGTTGCATGGATTCATAGCTCATTTTTTTATTGCTGAATAATATTCCATTATATGGACATGCTATTGTTTATTTATCTGTTCACCACTTAAAAGACATCTTGGTTGCTTCTAGTCTTCTGCATTGATGATTCAGCTGCTAGAAACTTTTGAGTGGAGATTTTTGTGTGAAGATAAATTTTCAGTTCATTTGGGTAAATACCAAGGAACACAACTGCTTGATGATATGGTAAGAGTATGTTTAGTTTTATGCGAAATTGTCAAACTATATTCCAAACTGGATGTACCATTGTGCATCCCCACCAGCAAGGAATGAGAGTTCCTATTTCTCCACATCTTTGCCAGCAATTGGTATTATCAGGTTTTTTTAGCCATTTAAATGCATATGTAGTACTATCTCATTTTTAATTTGTATTTTCCTAATGACATATGAAACTGAGCATCATTTCATATGCTTATTATATGCCATCTGTATATCTTTTTTGATGAAGTGTTTGTTCCTATGTTTTGTTCATTTTTCACTGGGTTGGTGATATGGTTTGGCTGTGTCCCCACCCAAATCTCATCTTGAATTGTAACTCCCACAGTTCCCACATGTCATGGGAGGAACCCAATGGGAGGTGATTGAATTAAGGGGGTGGGTCTTTCCTGCACTGTTTTCTTGATAGTGAATGAGTCTCACAAGGTCTGATGGTTTTAAAAGCGGGAGTTTCCCTGCACAAGCTCTCTATTTTGCATGCCACCATCCACATGAGATATGACTTGCTCATCCTTGCCTTCTGGCATGATGGTGAGGCCTCCCCAGCCATGTGGAACTGTAAGTCCATTAAACCTCTTTTTCTTCCAAGTCTCAGGTATGTCTTTATCAGCAGCATGAAAATGGACTAATACAGTAAATTGGTACCAGTAGAATGGGGTGCTGCTGTAGACACCCGAAAATGTGGAAGCAACTTTGGAACTGGATAACAGACAGAGGTTGGAAGAGTTTGGAGGGCTCAGAAGAAGACAGGAAAATGTGGGAAAGTTTGGAACTCCCTAGAGACTTTTTGCATGGCTTTGACCAAAATGCTGAGAGCGATACGGACAATACAGTCTAGGCTGAGGTAGTCTCAGATGGAAATGAAGGGCTCGTTGGGAACTGGAGCAAAGGTGACTCTTGTTTTAGCAAAAAGAGTGGTGACATTTTGCCTCTGCCTTAGAGATTCGTGGAACTTGAACTTGAGAGAGATTTAGGGTATCTGGCAGAAGAAATTTCTAAGCAACGAAGCATTCAAGAGGTGACTTGGGTGCTGTTAAAGGCATTCAGTTTTATAAGGGAAGCAGAGCATAAAAGATTGGAAAATTTACCACCTGACAATGCAATAGAAAAGAAAATCCCATTTTCTGAAATGAAATTCAAGCTGGCTGCAGAAATGTGGATAAGTAATGAGAAGCCAAATATTAATCACCAAGACAATGGGGAAAATGTCTACAGAGCATGTCAGAGGTCTTCATGGCAGCCCCTCGCATCACAAGCCTGGAGGCCTAGGAGGTGAATGTGGTTTTGTGGGCTGGGCCCAGGGTCCCGGTGTTGTGTGCAGTCTAGGTATTTTGTGCCCTGCATCCCAGCCACTCCAGCCGTGACTAAAAGGGATGAAGGTACAGCTCAAGCTATGGCTTCAGAGGGTGGAAGCCCCAAGCCTTGGCAGCTTCCATGTGGTATTGAGCCTGTGAGTGCACAGATGTCAAGAACTGAGGTATGAGAACCTCCCCCTAGATTTTAGAGGATGTATGGTAACGCCTGGATGCCCAGCCAGAAGTTTGCTGCAGGGGCAGGGCCATCATGGAGAAGCTCTGCTAGGGCAATGCAGAAGGGAAATGTGGGGTGGGAGCCCCCACACAGAGTCCCTACTGGGGCACTGCCTAGTGGAGCCTTGAGAAGAGGACCACCATCCTCCAGACCCCAGAATGGTAGATCCACTGACAGCTTGCACCATGTGCCAGGAAAAGCCATAGACACTCACTGCCAACCCATGAAAGCAGCCAGGAGGGAGGCTATACCCTGAAAAGCCACAGGGGTGGAGCTGTCCAAGACCATGGGAACCCACCTCTTGCATCAGTGTGACCCGGATGCAAGATACGGAGTGAAAAGAGATCATTTTTGAGTTTTAAAATTTGACTGCCCTGCTGGATTTTGGACTTGCATGGGGCCTGTAGCCCCTTTGTTTTGGCCAATTTCTCCCATTTGGATCAACTGTATTTACCCAATGCCTGTACCCCCATTGTATCTAGGAAGTAACTAACTTGCTTTTGATTTTACAGGCTCATAGGCAGAAGGGACTTGCCTTGTCTCAGATGAGACATTGGACTGTGGACTTTTGAGTTAATGCTGAAATGACTTAAGACTTGTGGGGATTGTTGGGAAGGCATAATTGGTTTTGAAATGTGAGGACATGAGATTTAGAAGAGACCAGGGGTGGAATGATATAGTTTGGCTGTGTCTCCACCCAAATCTCATCTTGAATTGTAACTCCCACAATTCCATGTCATGAGAGGAACCCAGTGGGAGGTGATTGACTTATGGGAGCAGTTCTTTCCTGTGCTGTTCTTGTAATAGTGAATGCGTCTCAAGAGATCTGATGGTTTTAAAAATGGGAGTTTCCCTGAACAACCTCTCTTGTTTGCGTGCTGCCATCCATGTGAGATATGACTTGCTCATCCTTGCCTTCCACCATGATTGTGAGGCCTCCCCAGCCATGTGAAATGTAAGTCCATTAAACCTCTTTTTCTTCCCAGTCTTGGGTATGTCTTTATCAGCAGGGTGAAAACAGAGTAATACAGTTGGGTTTTTTTTACTGTGAAATTTATGAATTGTATATGTACTTTGGATAAAAGTCCGTTATGATCTATTTGATTTGCAAACAATTTTCTCCCAGCCTGTGGTTTGTCTTATCATTCACTTAACATTTTATTTCACAAAGCAAAAATTTTTAAAAAGTCCAATTCTACCAATTTCTAATTTTATGGATTGTGCTTTTGGTGTATCTAAAATTCCATTACCAAAGCCAAGATCACACAGATTTTTTCCTGATGTTTTTCAAAAAGTTTCTTACTTTTGCATTTTAACTTTAGGCCCATGATCCATTTTGAGTTAATTTTTGAGTAAGATGTAAGGTCTGTGTCTATGCTCTCTCTCTCTCTCTTTTTTTTTGCATATGGATGTTCAATTTTTCCATCAACATTTATTGAAAAGAGAATTCTTTCTTCATTGAATTGCCTTTGTATTTTTGTAAAAAATCAGTTGATTATATTAGTGTGGTTCTATTTCTGAGCTCTGTATTCCATTTTATTTATCAGTGTACTTGATTGTGATAGCTCTATACTTATGCTTGAAATCAGGTAATGTGAGTCCTTCACTTTTTTTTTTTCCAGAGTTGGGCTGGCTGTTTTAAATCCTCTGTTCTTCAATATAAATTATAGAATAAATTAGCTGATATCTACAAAAAAGATTGCTGGGATTTTGATTAAGATTGGATTGAATCTATACATCGAATTACAAATAACTGATATCTTTACAATACTGAATGTTCCAATGCATGCATATGAAATTCATTTATTTATTTTTTTTTACTTCTTTCTTCCCTGTTTTGAGGCTTTCTGTGTATAGATTCTGTAAATATTTTGTTAGATTTATACTTTTCTGATGCTACTGTAAATGTTTTTTGTTGTTGTAGTTTAATTTCAAAGTCTAGTAGTTCGTTGATGGCAAACAGAAAGGCAGTTTGCTTTTATATATTGACCTTGTATCCTGCAGTGTTGCAGGATACATGCCTATTGGTGCCAGGAAGTTTTCTTTTCTTTTTTTTTTTTTTTTTTTTTGTAGATTCTTAGGAATTTTCTATATAGACAATGATGTCATCTGTAAGTATAGACAGTTTTATTTCTTGCCTTCCAATCTGTATAAACTTTTTTTGAGACGGAGTTTCACTCTTGTCACCAGACTGGAGTGCAATGGCGCAATCTGGGCTCACTGAAACCTCCACCTCCTGGGTTCAAGTGACTCTCCTGCTTCAGCTTCCCGAGTAGCTGGGATTACAGGTGTGCACCACCACACCCAGCTAATTTTTGGTTTTTTAGTATATACGGGGTTTTGCCATGTTGGCCAGGCTGGTCTTGAACTCCTGACTTCAGGTGATCCGCCCATCTCGGCCTCCCAAAGTGCTGGGATTACAGGTGTGAGCCACCACGCTTGGCCCAATCTGCATGAACTTTATTCCTTTTTTAAAAAGTAAGCCTAGTTTCATTTTGCCTGTGACATAATTTTTAAAATATCTTTTTTAGGAAGATACTTTTAAATATGTTGTATTTTATAGGAATATACAATTTTTAAATTGTAAAGTGACAACTTATTATTGGGTACATTTATGGGGTACAAAGTGATGGTTTATGAATACAATGTAGAATAATTAAATCAAGCTAGTTAACATATCCATCACCTCAAATACTCAACATTTTTGTAGTGAAAATATTTGAAATTTCTCTTTGCAATTTTGTAATATAGAATATTCTATTAACTATATTTACCACATTATGCAATAGACTTTTTAAAAAAACATACTTCTCCTAAGATTTTTCACCCTTTGATCATCTTCTCCCCAATCTCCCAAATCCCTAGCCTTTGTTAACTACCATTCTACATTCCACCTCTATGAGATCAATTGTCTTAGATTCCACATATAACTGAGAACATGTAGTATTTGTCTTTCTGTGTCTGGTTTATTTCACTTAGCATAATGTTCTCTAATTCATTATATCCATGTTGTCACAAATGACAGAATTTCCTTCCTTTTAAGGCTGAATAGTATTCTACTGTGTGTATATACCACATTTTCTTTATCCATTCATCTGTTGATGAACATAAGTTGATTCCATAACTTGGCTACTGTGAATAGTGCTGCAATGAACATGGGATGCAGTCAGAGAAATTGATTTCAAATCTTTTGGGTAAATACCCAGAAGTAGGATTGCTGGATCTTATGGTAATTCTATTTTTAGTTTGAGGAACCTACCTACAGTTTTCCATAATGGCTATACTAATTTATATTCCCATCAACAGTGTATAAGAGTTCCCTTCTTTTTCTGCATCTGATGAAATGATCATACAGTTTTTGTCCTTCATTCTATTGTGATGTATCATATTTATTAATTTGCATATGTTGAACCATGCTTGCATCTCAGGGACAAATCCCACTTGATCATGGTGGATGAGTTTTTTCAATGTGTTGTGGAATTCAGTTTGCTAATATTCTGTTGAGGATTTTTGCATCCATGTTCATCAAGGATATTGGCCCATGATTTTTTCTTGTAATATCTTAGTCTAGCTTTGGCATCAGGGTGATGCTGGCCTTGTAAAATTAGTTTGGAAATGTTCCCCCTTCAGACCCCAACTGCAGCCCTGCCCAACTGCAGATACCAAATAGCGTAATTGCTTAGCCAAGGAATACATCCTGTGACCAAATTAACCAGAAGCCATCAAAGTACCTTGTCAGCAGCTCTGCCGGATAGCAGAGAACAGCCAGTTGTCTCAAAGAACAGTGGAAACCTAAGTTATTAATTGTATATCTCTCTTCTTTTCTAACATATGCATTTGGTGTTATAAATTTCCCTCTAAAAATTGCTTTTTCTTCATCCCCAAATTGTGATAAGTTGTATTTTCATTTTCATTGAGTTCAAATTATTTGTTTTTAAATTTCTCTTGAGACTTCTTTGGCCCATGGGTTATTTAGAATTTTGTGGTTTAATTTGCAAATGTTTGGAAAATTTCCAGCTATCTTTCTGTTATGATTTCTAGCTTATTGCTATTGTCATCTGAGCACATACTTTGTATAATTTCTATTCTTTTGGATTTGTTGAAGTATGTTTTATGGCCCAGAATGTGGTCTACAGAATGCCATCTAGCCTTTCTTTATGTAGATGCAAGTTTCTGACCCATGTCATTTTTCTTTTGCCTGATTAAGTTCTTTCCACATTTCTTTCAGAGCTGGTCTGCTGGAAATAAATTACCTCAGAATTTTCTTTATCTGGGAAAATCTTCATTTCTCCTTCACTGTTGAAGGATAATTTTTCTGGATATAGAATTATAGAATGCCAGTTTTTAATTTCAACACTTTAAAGATTTTTGTTTCACTCTTTTCTTGTTTATTTGGTTTGTGATGAGAAGTCAAATGTAATTTATATCCTTGTTCTTCTAGCCAGGTGTGATGACTCATGCCTATAATAATCCCAGCACTCAGGGAGGCTTGAGGCAGGAGAATCGCTTGAACCCAGGAGTTCAAGACCAGCCTGGGCACATGGCAAAAACCTGTCTGTACAAAAATAAAAGAGAAAAAAAGAAAACAATAAAAAATATATCCTTATTCTTCTATAGGTAAGATTTTTTTCCTTCTGGCTTCCGTCAAGATGTTCTCTTTGTCTTTTGTTGTCTGTAATTTGAATATAATATTCCTAGGTTTTGTGTTTTTGTTTTGCTTTGATATTTATCTTGCTTGGTATTCTTTTTGTATCTGTTGTTTAGTGTCTGACAATTTTGGAATGTTCTCAACAAGTATTACTACAAGCATTTCTTCTATCCCATTCTCTCTTCTGGTATTCCAATTGTGCATATGTTACGCCTTTTGATATTATCCCACAGTTCTTGGATGGCTGTTCTATTTTCATTATTTTTTCTCTTCGCATTTTAGTTTGGGAATTTTTTATTGACCTTCAAATTAACTGATACTTTCCTTAACCCTGTGAAGTCAATGGGGCTATCAAAGATATTCTTCATTCACGTTGCTGTGTTTTTGATATCTAGCATGTCATTTTGAGTCTTTCGTATAATTTTCATCTCTCTGCTGACATTACACACCTTGCACATTGTATACTTTCTCCATTAGATCTCTTAACATATTAATCATAATTATTTAAAATGCCCTGTGCCATAGTTTTTAAATTTGTATCATAACAGCCTGGGTTTGATGCTTGCTTGATCTCTTGAAAATATATTTTTCTTGCCCTTTAGCACTCCTAATGACTTTTTGTTAAAAGCCAGACATGTTGTATCCTGTAACAGGTGCTGAGGTAATAAGGCCTTCAGCAGAAGAATTGATAGCACTCAGGGTAGCAGTTTGGTTGTGTTTAATGTTGTTTTAGCTACAGGTATCAAAACCTTTCTTGTTTTTGTTTCCCTTCCTGGCTTTCAGGCTTCTCTTTGTATTGCTTTAGAGAAAGCCTATGTCTTGCAATTCTTTCATCTGCAATCCAGTATTGTTACTCTGGAGGTTCACTGGTAGTAAGTGTGGAGAAGGGAAGTAGTCTACAATCTGATTGAGTCTCAGACTTTTAGTTAACCTGTGTCTTGGAGACATGGTGTTCACAAGTATATCTATTCCTACTTCAAGGGCACGGTTGTCTTATCCCTGCCCCTACTCCCTTCCCTGGCTGCAACATTTCCAATGGAATTCCTTAAACGCTGTTATCTTTCCTCCTTAGTTAAGAAATAAAGGCTGGTGCTAGAGTAGAATTCCCTTACCCTATCTGGGCTATAGTTTCAAAATTACCCTCTGGCAAATTTCCCCCACCCCCCATCCCCAGACTAAGTCTTTGTTAGAAAAAAAGGGGAAGGAGTGTTTTAAGCTGGATATTCTTTGCCTCCCCTACCAAGGCCACTAGCTTATCCTCAGCTCAGATCTTTAGCTCAGATCCTCAGCTCAGATCCTCACTGAAAGAATCCACTGGATTCCTAGAATGAAGGCCATGTAAGTGTGGGCCCTCTCTTTCCCATGATTGTGCTCCCCCATGAATTTTTTACTCTTATACTAGTAAAATACTCAGCCTCCAGCAATTCATGAAAATAATCATTCATGTGTTCCTCCAGTTTATGGTAAGTAACTCTTGGGAACTGTATTTCTCTGGATTGTCTATCTCTCTAGATCTTAAGGTGGCAGTTTGCCCTTGTCACCACAGTTCTCTGATAAGCCCAATAAAAGTTGTTAATTTTCCATTTGTCCAACTTTTTCTTGTTATAAGACAGGAGTAATGACTTTTAAACTCTCTACATGTAAGAACAGAAACTGGAAGTCCACCACAGAATTTTTTATTCAGTAGGTCTGGGAGGGGGGAAGTTATAAACATATTTTAAATATATTTTTATCTAGAAGTATATTAGAACAGGCTAATTTCAGGAATTTTGTGAGTCAGTTGTTAAACATAGACATTACTCAAAATTAAATTATATAAACTTATTATTAAATAAATCATATTAAAAACAAAGATAATAATTACTCAAGGATCATCACTTCCTAGTTATGCTATTAAATTTTACTACTACCGTCCAGAAGTGGTGGCTCACACCTGCAATCCCAGCATTTTGGGAGGCCAAGGCGGCGGATCACTCGAGACCAGCCTGGCAAAAAAGGTGAAATCCTGTCTCTACTAAAAATACAAAAATTAGCTGAGTGTGGTGGCAGGCACCTGTAATCCCAGCTACTTGGGAGTATGAGGCAGGAGAATGGCCTGAACCCAGGAAGCAGAGGTTGTAGTGAGCCGAGATCGCACCACTGCACTCCAGCCTGGGTGACAGAGCGAGACTTTGTCTCAAAAAAAAAAATCTACTACTACCTAATTCTTGCAGTTATTTAAAATATCTATTGTATCTGTATGGTGGTGTGCTACTAAGTATCTATTTGTAACTTCCCATTCAGAAAATTTATGTTGGGAGCTTGAAATCTGCTGTGATGAGAGGATTTATAACATGGAAATTGGCAAATGCTGCAAATAAATGTTTCCTTGCCACCTGTGTAGGTAGCAAAATATTTATCAGCATACTTACTGCTTAGGCCTAAACCCTAGTCCCAGATATTGCAATTCAATTGACCTGAATTGAGACACAACTATGGGAATTTTTAAAAGGCATACCAGATGACTTTAATATGCATTCTAGAGCGAGGAAGCACTGTTCTGGTCTAAAAAAGAAGCCAGTGGGTAGAAGTAGAATTGTTTAGGTGTCATTCATTTTAGAGGCTGACTTTGTAGTTGGAATTCACCAGCAACGGCTGGGCGTGGTGGCTCACGCCTGTAATCCCAGCACTTTGGGAAGCCGAGGCAGGCAGATCACGAGGTCAGCAGTTCAAGACCAGCCTGTGCAACATGGTGAAACCCCGTCTCTACTAAAAATACAAAAATTAGCCAGGCATGGTGGCAAGCGCCTGTATTCCCAGCTATTCGGGAGGCTGAGGCAGAAGAGTCACTTGAACCCGGGAGGCGGAGGTTGCAGTAAGCTGAGATCATGCCACTGAACTCTAGCCTGGGTGACAGAGCAAGACTCCGTCTAAAAAACAAAACAAAACAAAACAAAAAAATTCACCAGCAACTGGCCAAAGTGATATAAATATCTATATTGTTTTTCAAGTCTTCTGGAGGTAAATTTGTGTTACTTGTTTTTGTTTGTTTTTGATGTAGATAAGCAAAGAAAGGCTTCAAGGCAAATTGTTACATAAAGATTTAGTCTTTATGCTAAGAGTAATGCAAATCCTTTGAAGAGTTAGTTTCTAAGCAAAAGAGGATGCAATTAGTTGTGTTTCTAAAAAAATCATTCTGAATATAGTTTGGAAAAATAGATTGGAAGGTGGCAAGAATATCTACAGAGAAAGCTGGGGGAGGTTATGACAATAATCCAGTTTTCCCTGCCTCCACCTGAGAGAATGAGGGTCTCTCCTGCAGCAGACATTGCTGATTGGTTAGGTTTTTATTCCAAACCCTTTCTCTCTCTCCTTGCCTCTTTCTTTTAATAGAAATAATATAATTAATAGAAAGCTAAATACTTGATTTTCCAGGCTCTTTTAAAGCTAAGGGTGGTCATGTGACAGTTCTGGCCAATGAGATGAAAGCAGAAATATAAAGGAAGCGGAATGGCTTCTGGGAAATTTTTTACCTTCCTGAAAAATGACAGAGATAGGATGGTGCTATTGCCCTTCTCCTTTCTGTCTTTAATGTGGATAAAATGCCCAGAGTGAGCTAGAGAAGATATTTTGAGACCATAAGAAAAGAAGAAAGGCTTTAGGAAAGAGAATAGCAGAACGGCCAATCCAAATTCTGACAAAATTAAGCCAAAAAAAATCAAAGCCAAAAGCTATCTCTTCTTTTAATGTGAGAAAAGTAAATATTTGTTCAATTCTTGTTAGTTGGGTATTCTGTTACTTGCTGTCAGAGTCATTCCTGTTACATCCCCCAACATCAGAAAGAAAAGTCCATAAAGCACCATTTTTCCAACCTTATATCTTCACCAGTCCCTCATTATCATTTTAAAGGAAAAAAATCCTTATTGCACTCCAAATCAAGTACCCCTCAAGTATGTAACCATTTCTCCCAGCACTTCTGATCATCCATTATTATTTCCTCATTCTTGTATCTTCATTTTCATAATCCCTTCTATTACCTCATGTTTTACCCTCTGCCTGGATTGAGCTTCCCCTACTTCTTCTCCAAACAAGTAACTAATCATCTTTAAAAACCTGATTCAAAAGTCAATAATGTTCTCTGTGAAACCTTTTTTATTTTACCTCAAAGGATTTAATCACTCCTTTCTAAGTGTTCCCATGACGTTCCACATATGTTATTATGGAACTGATCACAAATGTATCAGAATTATTTGTCTGCAATTAGAAGCTGAATTTGGTGGCTCACACTGATAATCCCAGTACTTTGGGAGGCCGAGGCACACAGATCACTTGAGCCCAGGAGTTCGAGACCAGCCTGGTCAACATAGTGAAAACCTCTATCTACAATAATTACAAAAAATTAGCCAGGCACGGTGGTACATGCCTGTATTCCCAGGTACTTCAGAGGCTGAGGTGGGAGGATCGCTGGAGCCCAGGAAGCAGAGGTTGCAGTGAGCCAAGATTGCACTCCAGTCTGGGTGACAGAGTGAGATCCTGAGAAGAAGAAGAAAGAAGAGGCCAGGCACAGTGGCTCAGGCCTGTAATCCCAGCACTTTGGGAGGCTGAGGCAGGCAAATCATTTGAGGTCAGAAGTTTGAAACCAGCCTGGCCAACATGATGAAACCCCGTCTCTATTAAAAATACAAAAAAATTAGCCAGGCATGGTGGCGGACACCTGCAATCCCAGCTACTTGGGAGGCTGAGAGAGGAGAATTGCTTGAACCCAGGAGGCGGAGGTTGCAGTGAGCTGAGATTGTGCCACTGCACGCCAGCCTGTGTGACAGAGCAAGACTCTGTCTCAAAATAAAAAAAAAGAGGAAAGAAGAAAGAAGAAGAGGAAGAAGAAGAAGAGGAAGAGGAGAAGGAAGCAGAGGAGGAAGAGGAGGAAGAGGAAGAAGAAGAAGGAGAGGAGGGGGAGGAGGAGGAGGGAGAGGAAGAGGGGGAGAAGGAAGAGGAGGAGGAGGAAGAGGAAGAAGAGGAAGAGGAGGAAGAAGAAGTGAGGAAGAAGAGGAAAAGAAGAGGAAAAGAGGAAGAGGAAGAAAAGGAAGAGGAAGAAGAAGAGGAAGAGGAAGAAGAAGAAGAAGAAGCAGAAGCAGCAGCAGCAACAGCAGCAGCAGAAGCAGCAGCTGAGCTCTAACACAAAGCGCCATTGGTTCCTCAGGCTGATGATTCAAAACAGTCACCCAGGGAACTTAAAAAAATAGATATTCCCCTGGTAATTCTCTTGAAGCGACTTCACAAGCCAGCATTTGGAAATCATTACCATATTTCTTTTATCTCAAGTATCCAACCAATAATAAGCATATTGACTAAATAACGGACTGTTACTGAAATAAACAAGTATATTTTCATTACCTGTGAAACTAGTCAATCTTTCCCGTTTATAGGATGGTTCTTCCAGGTCTTCTGCTATTGATTCACTTGCTGATACACTTGACTTAGAAACTGTACTGCTTCCTAAAACTGACCTTTAATAATGAATAACAAAATTACTCATTTATTTAGATGTCCTTATAGGAAACTACATATACAAATTAGAACATATTATCAGATGGAGAAATCAAATATACTATGATCATATAAGCAAAATAGATACATTAATTTTTAAATAATGAGTTGGTTTTTAATATTTCTTAAATAAAAAGTTACTTAAAATTTATTTGTATCTTTATTTATTTTTTGAAATGGAGTCTCGCTCTGTCACCCAGGCTGTAGTGCAGTGGCATGATCTCTGCTCACTGCAACCTCTGCCTCCCAGGTTCAAGTGATTCTCCTGCCTCAGCCTCCTGAGTGGCTGGGATTACAGGCTTGCGCCACCACGTCCAGCTAATTTTTTTGTATTTTTAGTAGAGACGTGGTTTCACCATTTTGGCCAGGCTGGTCTTGAACTCCTGACCTCAGGTGATCTGCCCACCTCGGCCTCCCAAAGTGCTGTGATTACAGGCGTGAACCACCGCACCCAGCCAAAATGTATTTTAGAAGAAAGACATGTTAAACATGCTTAAAGTCCTTCGGTGAATTACCAATACATTTAGTACAAAAATCCAAAATACAGTCAACCTACCCAGCATATTCATCTTCATTATTAGTCTTCCTTTACTTTTTTTCTTTTTTTAGTTCCTCAATCTTACAGAGCTCTCTAACTTCAGAGCCTCAGCCTGGAATACTCTTCCTTTTGTTTTTCACTTGGTTTCTGTTCACTGTTCAAATGTCATCTTAAAAATGTGATTTATTTCATTTTATAAAGGCCTTCTCAAGGTTTAACTAAAATATATGTACTCAGAAATAAATCAATGGAAGAATCCAAAAATAATTTCCTTAAACATATGAACTTAGCAGTACTCCATGGTATTACATACTTTCTTTTTTGTTCCTATTTATAGTCTCAACTGCCCATCAAAAGAGGATGTAAAGTTTATTGGAATATCCTCCTTTACCAGGTACTCCTATATTTTTGCAGGCAAATTCAGAGGCAAGCTCCAGAGAAGCATAATTGCTGTGTATTATAAAATAAGAGAGAAATCAAACTCTAGGAGAACAGAGATTTGCATGGGAGAGGAGGGGAAAAAAGGAAAGCCACCTCTTCCTGTAAAATGCAGCTCAAAAGAAGCTGAAGAAACCTGAAGAAAAATGTCTAATGAGAATTTGAAATTAATTGTATGTGATTTTAGTCCCATCTTTTGGTTGCTCAGGAAGTCTTGAGTGAAATATATATATTTTTCACAAATGTTTTGTTGTGAGTGTATGGAAACTCTGAAGACATTAAGAGCTCTGCATTTAATTTAAAACATGAGAGGAACATAGAGATGGAACACTAGGATGATAATCAAAACTGGGTGGCTCATGCCTGTAATCCCAGCATTTTGGGAGGCCTAGGCAGGTGGATCACCTGAGGTCAGGAGTTCGAGATCAGTCTGGCTAACATGGTGACACCCCGTCTCTATTAAAAATACAAAAAATTAGCCAGGTGTAGTGGGGGGGCGCCTGTAATCCCAGCTACTTGGGAGGCTGAGGCAGGAGAACTGCTTGAACCTGGGAGGTGGAGGTTGCAGTGAGCCAAGATGGCACCACTGTACTCCAGCCTGGGCAACAGGAGTGAAACTTGTCTCAAAAAAGAAAGAAAGAGAGAAAGAGAAGAAAGAGAAGAAAGAGAAGAAAGAAAGAAAGAAAGAAAGAAAGAAAGAAAGAAAGAAAGAAAGAGAGAAAGAGAGAGAGGAAAGAAAGAAAGAAAGAGAGGAAAGAAAGAAAGAAAGAAAGAGAGAGAGAGAAAGAAAGAAAGAAAGAAAGAAAGAAAGAAAGAAAGAAAGAAAGAAAGAAAGAAAGAAACTGGGAGACTGGAGACAACTGATATCTAAGATACACATTTGCAATTTAAATGGAAAGGCAATATATATGATAGAAAAAAGGAACTATATAATAGTATACTCTACCTTGTAAACTGCCCTAACGTACTAGGATTTATTGTATTCTGATAAAGGCTATAGGAAGATATAAATTCTGATCCAAGTGATCCTTCTTGTGATGTCAAGAGTTTACTTGGTTTTGCTGTACCAGTAAGTGGATCTGGATGGTAAAGAGGTCGGGGAGTAACATCAGTTCCATTTATGTCAAATACCTGTTAAAAATGGTTATTTAAAATGAAATAACTAAAAAAGACAGGGCTTCTAAATAACAGCTGCTAGAAAATAGAAACAAATATGGTAGAAAAAAGATTAGTATAATGCTCCTATAATAGGATAAACATGAAAAATTGGATGCTTTAAAATGTCATGCTTAGAAAGTTTCTTAATTATGCAAAAACTTTCTTAAAATATTATTTTTGCTTTATCTATATGTAATTAATATATATTAACTTTAGGAAAATCAGAACAGTGGAAAGATAATTCATCCAGATTGTTAGTATTTTGGTGCATGTAAATTGTATGTACACATTTTAAAGAAAACTCACTATTTTTCACTTAACATTTCATTAATAGGCATTTCCCAAGTTATTATATGCTTTTGGTTTACAGTTCTGCACCACAAAATGATTCAGTCAACAATGGACCACATATATGACAGTGGTACCATAACATTATAACAGAACTGAAAAGTTCCTATCACCTAGTGACATCACAGTCATCATAATGTCATAGCACAACACATTACTCACGAATTTGTGGTGATGCTCGTATAAACAAACCTACTGCACTGCCAGTCATATAAAAGTATAGCAATACTATTATGCACAGTACATAATATTTGATAATAATAATAAATTATGCTTCTGGTTTATGTGCTTACGAAACTACACTTTTTAATATTTTAGAGTGTACTCCTTTTATTTCTTAAAAAAATAGTTAACTGTAAAACAGCCTCGGGCAGGTCCTTTAGTGGGTACTCTAGAAGATGATATTGTTATAAGAGATGATAGCTCCATGCATATTACTGCCCCCAAAAAACCTTCCAGTGGGACAAAATGTGGAGGCAGAAAACAGAGATATTGATACAGTTGAACTCTTTTTATATATTTATTCCTATTTTGATTTCCGTTTGGAGGGGGAGAATTTCCTATTCAAGTCCTTTGCACAATTTTTATTGAGACTTTTTTATTATTGGTAATGTATGAGTCCTTTCAGTTGTATGAGCTGCAAATGTCTTCTTTCACTCTGTGGCTTTATTTTCTTTATGGTATATTTGATGAATATGAGTTATTTTTAACGTAGTCAATTGTATCATGTTTTCCATTATGGATTGTGCTTTAGACATCTCCTTAAAAAAAACATTCCCAGCCCTGAAGTCCTATATGTTGCTTTTCATATTTAAGTCTATAATATACCCAGAATTAATTTTATATATAGGATAAGAAAGCCAATATATTTTTGTTTTATAAGAACATCCAATTGTCTCAACAAGAGTTTTTGAAAATCCTGTCCTTTCCCCATTACTCTGCAGTTCACATTTATTATAAAATAAGTGTTTATATGTGCTCAGGTCATTTGAAGACTCTCTAATTTGCTAATATTATATGTTTTATTAAGCCTGGTATCTAGGAAAGCAAGTGTTTCCACTGAGTTTTTATGCAAGTGTCTTGGCTATTTTTAGCCTTTAGCATTTACATATAAATTTTAGAATTATCTTGAAAAGTTTCTGGAAAAAATAACTTTAAAACTTGAGATTTTGATTAAAATTGCAAAGAATCTATAAATCAAAATTTAGGATAATCTTAAAATATTGACTTTTGCTCTGCACAAATATGTCTATATCTCCTTTTGTTTTGGTCCTCTTTAATGTCTTCCAATAAACTTTTATAGTTTTAAAAATATTGGTATATGCATCTTTTGTTATATTTTTCCACAAGTGCTTGATAAATGTTAGTGCTATTATAAATTGTATCATTTTAAAATGTCTAATTTTTGGATGGGCACAGTGGCTCAATGCCTGTAATCCCAGTGCTCTGGGAGGTCAAGGCAGAAGGACTGCTTGAGGCTAGGGGTTTGAGACCAGCCTGAACAACACAGCAGAATCTCGTCTTTACCAAAAATTTGAGAAAATTAGCACACACCTGTAGCCCACGCCACATGGGAGGCTAAGGCAAGAGGACTGCTTAAGCCCAGGAGTTTGAGGATATAGTGAGCTATGATTGTGCCACTGCACTTTCAGTCTGCATGATCAGAGCAAGACTCATCTCTAAAAAAATTTTTTTCAAATAAAAAAAATCTAATTTTTGAACTATTTGTTGCTAACAAATATTCAATCCACAAATATTCAACGTTTTCTTTCTTCCTTTCCAATTCTTATACATTCCATTTCTTTTTCTTACCAATTTGAACTGATTTATGTTGAATAAAAGGGGGCTCTTTTTTGAAATGCTTCACCATTTGACATGATCACTACTGTAGGATTTTATAGATAGCCTAAATAAGATGTTTAAAGTTCCTTGTGATTCTCAGTTTCATAAGAATTTTTAAAATCATGAATATTAAATGTTAACAGATACTTTCTGTCTATATTGAAATGATCATATGCTTTTTTACCACATTAAGCTGTTAATGTGGTAAATTACACTAAGGGTTTTTAAATGTTAAACCAATCTTGATATCTTGGCACAGACCAAGCTTCCTTATGATGTATGTATTAAGCATTTGTTGTTGTTGTTGTTGTTGTTACTGAACTTTATTGGATAATATTTTATTGAGGATTTCTCTACGTTTGCAAGTGAAATTGGCATATAATATTTGTTTCTCATACTGTATTCAGGTTTTAATATCAAGGTAATGCTAGCCTCATAAAATGAGTTTTGGAGTATACCCACTTTTAGTGTTCTGTTTTCATCTATGTATGTTTGACACATACCACAATTGAAGTCATCTGAATCTGGAATTATCTTTGAAGGAAGGTTTTTAAATCACTCATATAAATTTCTTTAATAGCTTCCAGTTTTCAATTTTTGTTTGTCTGCTTTGGTAAAGTGTAATTTTTTAAAAGCTTTTTTACATTTTACCTAAATTTTCAAAATTCAAAATTGAAATACAATAACATAATATGCATTAATGTGCTTTTTAAATTGCTTTTAACATGTACAATTCAATAGCTTTTAATATGTTCACATATATGTGCACCAAAATTAATTTTGGAATCTTTTTACACTTCAAGAAGAGACTCTGTATCCATTATGATCCCTGCTATGGTTTAAGTGTGTGCACCAAAAGTTCACGTGTTGGAAATGTGGTCCCAATGCAGCAGTGTTGAGAGCTTTGACTTTGGAAGGTGACTGTGTAATGAAAGCTTGTCCTCACAAATGGATTAATCCATTCATGAATTAATGGATAAATGGGTTATCAAGGGAGTGGTTTAGTCATCACAAGAGAAGTCTGTTATAAAAGCCAGTTTCCCTATCTCTCATAAACTTCCCTCACCATGCGACACCCTGCACCACCTCAGCTCTCTGCAGAGTCCCCACTAGCAACAAGGCCCTAACCAGATGTGGTTCCTTGACCCTGGACATCCTAGCCTCCAGAACTGTAATAATATTCTTTTGTTTATAAATTACCCAGTATCAGGTATTCATTTACAGAAACAGAAAACACACTAAAAAAATTAATACCAAGAAGTGGGACTAATAACAAACACCTGAAAATGTAGAAGTGGCTTTGGAACTGAGTAGTGGATAGAGGCTGGAAGAACTTAGAGAAGCAGTCTAGAAAAAGGCTGCATTGCCATAAACAGCACTAAGGGTGATTCTGGTGAGGGCTCAGAAGAGCAGACTAGAGAAAGTCTGAATCTTTTTAATTGCTTAAGTGGTTGTGAACAGAATACTGGTAGAATTTGGAATAGTAAAGACTTCTGATGAGGTCTCAGACAGAAATTCTTATTAGAAACCGGAATAAAGGCTGTCTTTGTTATAAAGTAGTAAACAACTTGGCAGAATTTATGGAAGGCAAAATTTAAGAGTGACAAACTAGGATACCTGGCAAAATAAATATTAATATCTAAGCAAAGTGTTCAAGATGCTGCATGGTTGCTTTTGCTTGCTTACAGTGAGATTTGAGAACAAAGGGATGAGATTACAAAAAACAATTTATAATCAAAAGGGAAGCAAAGCAGAAAGATTTGGAAAAGTCTCAGCCTGGCCATGTAAAGAATGAACCAAGGGTGTGGCCCAGAAACCATTTGCTAAGGAGTTTAGTACAGATAGAAGGGATCATAAAGACAGTGGAAGAAGACTCCAAAGGCATTTCAGAGATCTTCTAGGTGGCTCATCCCAACACAGGCCCAGAGATCTAGGAGGGCAGAATGGTTTCAGGGGACAGACCCTGGGTGCCCTTCAAGAGCCCACTACCCAGAACTACCTTGGGTCCCCAAATTTTGGCAAGGAGTCAGCCACCCCAGCTGTGGCACAAGTGACCCCCATTGGGGCTGTGCCCACTACTCCAGAAGATGTGAGTCATAAGCCTTGGCAGCATCCACATGGCATTAATTCTGCAGGCTTACAAAAAGCAAAAGCTGTGGAGGAATTAAGATCCATCTTAATTCCAATGGATGTATCAGATGGCCTGGGAGTCTATGCAGAGATTTATCACAGGGGCAAAACCACTGCAGAAGGCCCCTAAAGGGTAATGCCTAGTGGAGACATGGGAGCAGGATTGCCACAGGACCCCAGAACTACAGAGCTATCAGCCTGCAAAGCCAGCCTGGGAGAGCTATACTGTAGACTGACCCCAGCAAAGTCACAGGGTCAGGGATGCCCAAGGCCCTGGGGACCCAATCCCTGCACCAGTGTGTCCAGAAGGCAGTACATGGAGTCAAAAGATATTATTCTCCAGCTTTAAAGTTTAATGTTTGCTCTGCTGAGTTCAGACTGTTTTGAGACCTATTATTTCTGGCCTATTCTCCCTTTTAGAATGGGAATGTATACCCCATGTCTGTCCAACCATTGTATCTTGGAAGTAAATAGTTTGTTTTGATTTCACAGGCTCACAGGTAAGACTCTGGGCTTTTGAGTTGATGTTGGAATGAGTTAAGGCGTTGGGGCTACTGGGATGGAATTAATGTGTTTTACATGTGAAAAGGATGTGAATTTGGGGGCCAAGGGCAGAAAGTTATAGTTTAAATGTGTGTCTAAAAGTTATGTTAGAAACTTGGTCCCTAATGCAATAGTGTTGAGAGGTGGGACTTTTGGGAGGTGACTGGGTCAAGAGGGCTCTACCCTCATAAATAAAATAGGTTATCAAGGGAGTGGATTAGTTATCATGAGAGGGGTCTGTTATAAAAGTCAGTTTCTCCATCTCTTGTGAGCACTCCTCACCATGTAATAACCTGCTCTACTCCAGGACCCTGCAGAGAGTCCCCCACTAGCGAGGAGATCCTCACCAGATGTGCCCACTTGACCCTGGACTTCTCAGCCTCGAGAAATGTCAGAAATACATTGCTTCATAAATTACCCAGTCTTGAGCATTCAGTTATACAATAACAACAGAAAACATATTAAGATAGTCCCCTAACATCTCCGCTCCCAGCCCTACGCCACCACTAGTATCTTCATGTCTCTATAGACTTCCCTATTCAGGAGTTTGATAGTGAATGGAATCATATACTGTGCAGTATTTTGTGACTGGCTTGTCTCACTTAGCATATTTTCAAGATTCATGCATCAGTGCTTCATTCCTTTTTATGGTTGAATAATATTCTATTGTATGGCTATACAACATTTTCTTTACCCACTTTTCCATTGATGGACATTTGAGTTGTTTCCACCTTTTGTCTATTATGAATAATGCTACTAGAAACATTTGTGTATACCCTTGTGTGTGGAAATATATTTTATTTCTCTTGGGTATATACACCTAGGAGTAGGATTGCTGGTTCATATGGTAACACTGCTTAACCTCTTGAGGCACTTCCAAACTATTTTACAAAGTGGCTAATTTATATTCCCACAAGCAGTGTATGAGGGTTCTGCTTTCTTTACTTCTAGCACTTGTTATGTGACTCTTTGATTCTAGCCATCTTAGTGGGTATAAAGTGAATATTTCATTGTGGGCTTGATTTCAATTTCTCTGATGGCTAACAACGTCCACCATATTTTCATATGCTTTTTGATCATTTGTATATATTTTCTTGAGAAATGAGCATTCAGATTGTATGATGAATAATTATTTGTCTTTATTAATGAATTGTAAGAGTTCTTTATATATGATAAAAGCTCTTATCAGATATATGTTTCACAAATATTTTCTATTTCTGTGGGTTATCTTTTCACTCTGTATATGCTTTTGATGCAAACATTTAAAAATTTTCATAAGGTCAAATTTGTCTACTTTTTCTTTTGTTACGTATGCTTTCAGTGTCACATGTAAGAATCCTATGCCAAATCCAAGGTCTTACCCCTATGTTTTCTTCTAAGAGTGTTACAGTTTTAGCTCTTAAATCTGTCTTTAATAAATTTTGAATTAGTTTGAAAATATGAGGTAAGGGTCTAAGTTCATTCTTTTCCAGGTGGCAATCCAGTTATCCTGGAACAATTTGTTCAACAGAATATCCTTTCCCCATTGAGTGATCTCGGCAATCATAAAAAAATCAGTTGACTTTAGGTAAATGGGTTTATTTCTGAACTCTCAATTGTATCCCATTGATCTACATGTCTATCTTTGTGCCAATAACACATGATTTTGATTACTATTGCTTTGTAACTTTTGAAACAGCGAAGTGTGAATCATCCTACTTTGCTCTTTTTCAGGATGATTTTGGCTCTTCTGGGTCCTCTGTGATTCCATATGAATTTTATTTTATTTTATTTTTATTTTTTTGAGACAGAGTTTTGCTCTTGTTGCCCAGGCTGGAGTGCAATGGTGCGATCTTGGCTTATGGCAACTTCTGCCTCCCAAGTTTAAGCGATTCTGCTGCCTCTGCCTTCCAAGTTCAAGCGATTCTTCTGCCTCTGCCTCCCGAGTAGCTGGGATTACAGGCATGCACCACCACACCCGGCTAACTTTGTATTTTTAGTAGAGATGGGGTTTTACCATGTTGTTCAGGGTGGTCTCGAACTCCTGGTCTCAGGTGATCCACCTGCCTTGGCCTCCCAAAGTGCTGGGATTACAGGTGTGAGCCACCGCGCCTGGCCCCATATGAATTTTAGAATCAGTTGTCAGTTTGTAGAAAGAAGTCAGCTGGAATTCTGATAACAATTGTGTTAAGTTTACAGATCAGTTTGGGGAGTATAACGATCTTAACAATAGTAGGTCTTTTGATCATGACCATGGGATACTTTCCCATTGAATTAGATCTTATTTAATTTCTTTCAATAATGTTTTATAGTTTTCAGAGCATACATTTTGCACTTCTTTTATTACATTTATTCCTAAGTATTTTACTGTTTTTGATGCTATTGTGAAATAAATCATTCTTAATTTTCAAATGGTTCTATGCATGTGTCTAGAAATACAATTCATTTGCATATTGATCATGTATCCGGCTGCCTTACAAAACTCATTTGCAAGTCCTAATAGTATTTTAGTGAATTCCTTAGGAGTCTGTATATATAACATCATGTCATCTGCAAATAAAGATGTTTTTACCTCTTACTTTCCGAACTGGATGCCTTTTATTTCTTTTTCTTGTCTAATTTACATGCCTAGAACCTCCATGATAATGTTGAATAGCAATGCAAGGACTTGTCTTGTTCCTGATCATAAGGAGATTAAGTGCAATTAAGTATAATGTTAGCTGTGGGGTTTTTGTGAATCCTTTGTCAAGTTGAGGAAATTCCCTTCTATTCCTAGTTTGTTGCGTGTTTATATCATGAAAAGATGCTGGATTTTTTAAGATGCTTTTCCCTTCAATTTTGTTGATCTTTTTAAAGAACCAGCTTTTGTTTTCATTGATTTTCTCTATTGTTTTTCTATTCAATATTTCATTAATTTCCACCCAAATATTTTTTATTTCCTCCCTTCTGCTTATTTCATGTTATTTTGTGTTATTCACTCTTTTTTTTCAGTTTCTTCAGTTGGAAGGGTAAGTTATTTGAGATCTTTCTTCTTTCTAATACAAATGTATATCTACAAATTTCCCTCTAAGCAGTGCTTTAGCTGTATCCCATAAGCTTTGGTATGTCATGTCTTGATTATCTATCATCTCAGAATATTTTCTGATTTTCCTTTTAATTTCTTCTTTAACTTACTGATTATTTACCTATCACCATCACAATAGTACATTATTTCTATTAGTGAATATTTTTCTAATGTAGATTTTAATTTCATCAATGATTTTTCATTATATTTTAAGGTTGAATATTTCATTGTGTATATATACCACTTTTTGTGTATCCAGTCATTTGTGGATGAGGACTTTAGTTGCTTTCACCTTTTAGCTATTGTGCATAATGCTGATATGAAGATGGTTGTACAAATATCTGTTTGAAACTCTGCTTTGAAGTCTTTTGATATATACTCCTTCCTGAATCATATAGTAATTCTACTTTCAAGGTTTGGAGGAATCACGATACTGTTTTTCTTTCCTTTTTTCTTTTGAGAAAGGATATAGCTCTGTCATTTAGGCTAGAGTGCAGTGGCACGATCATAGCTCACTGTAGCCTTGAAATTCTGGGCTCAAGTGATTCTCCTGAGCATCTAGGCATCTAGGACTACAGGCTTTTGCCACCACACCTGGCTAATTTATTTTTTCATTTTCTTATAGAGATGGGGTCTTGCTATGTTGTTCAGGCTGGTCTCAAACTCCTGACCTCAAGCAATCCTCCTGCCTCAGCCTCCCAAAGTGCTGAGTCTGGCATCAAGCAATCTTCCTGCCTCAGCTTCTCAAAGTGCTGAGATTACAGGTGTGAGCCACCATGCCTGGCCCTACAATACCATTTTTCATAGTGGCCACACCATTTCACAATCCACTAACAGTATGCAAGGGTTTCAATTCCTCCATGTCTTACCAACACTTATTTTGTTTTGTTTTTTTTAATAGTAGCTGTCATAATAGGTATGAAGTGGTGTCTTACTGTGATTTTGATTTGCATTTCCCTAATGTTTAGTGATGTTGAGTATCTTTTCCTGTGTTTGTTGGTTATTTGTACATCTTCTTTGTAAAAATATCTAATCAAGTTATTTGCCCATTCTTTTAATTGGGCTGTTTCTTTGTTGTCAATTTGTAGTTATTTATATATTCTGGTTATTAGCATCTTATCAAATATATAATTTGCAAATATTTTGTACCATCCTGTGGGTTGTTTTTTCACTCTGTTAATGTCTTTTGATAGACAGAAATTTCTAATTTTAATGTAGTCCAATATATATATTTTTTCTTTAGCTGCATATGCTTTTGTTGTCATATGCAAGAAATTGTTGGCAAATAATTTCTTTTCCCTATTTTCCTCTAGGAATTTTACAGAGTTAGCTCTTATTTGGGGTCTTTGATCCATTCTGAATTTATTTTTGCAGATGGTATAAGGTAAGGATCCAACTTCATTCTTTTCCATGTGGATATCCAGTTGTCCCAACAAGATTTGTTGACAAAACTGTCTTTTCTCCATTGCATAATCTTGGCTTCTTTGTCAAAACCATTTGACCATATATGTGAAATTTTATTTCTGGGCCATTCCATTCCATTGGTCTATACCGTATGTTTGTTTTTATTCCACTACCACCCTGTTTGGATTACTATAGATGTGTAATAAGTTTTAAAATCAGGCAGTATGAGACTTCCAACTTTGTTCTTCTTATTCAAGATTGTTTGGGCTATTTGCATCTCTTGATATTTCATATACATTTTAGGATAGGTTTTTCTACTTCTGAAAAAATATCACTGGGATTTTGGAGGGAATGTATTGAATCTGTAAGTCACTTTAGGTAGTATTGACAACCTAACACTATTACGCCTTCCAATCTATGAACAAGAAATGTCTTTCTGTTTACTGGTGTATTCTTTCCTTTCTTTTGTGTTTTGTAGTTTTCAGCATACAAATCTTTGGCCTCCTTTGTTATGTTTATCCCTAAGTATTTCATTATTTTTGATGCTATTGTAAATGCAATCTTTTTCTTAATTTCCTTTTTGGAAATTCATTGTTAGAAATGCAACTAATTTGTGTTGTTGATTTTCTGTCCTGCAACTTTGCAGAATTTTTTAGTTGTGTGTGTGTGTATGTGTAATTTTTACAGTTTTCTGCATATAGATCACATCAGAGAGAACTTTACTTCTTCCTTTCCGATCTGGGTGCCTTTTATTTATTTTGAGACAGAGTCTCAGTCTGTTCCTCAAGCTGGAGTACAATGGCGCTCTCTCTGCTCACTGCAACCCTCTGCCTGCCAGGTTCAAGTGATTCTCCTGCCTCAGACTCCCAAGTAGCTGGGATTACAGGCACCTGCCACGACGGCTGGCTAGTTTTTTTGTATTTTTAGTAGAGACGGGGTTTCACCATTTGGCCAGGCTGGTCTCGAACTCCTGACCTCAAGTGATCCGCCTGCCTTGGCCTCCCAAAGAGCTAGGATTAAAGGCATAAGCCACCATGCCCAGCTGGATGCTTTTTATTTCTTTTCCTTGCTCAGTTGCCCTGGCTAGGACTGCCACTACTATGTTGAAGAGAAGTGGTAAAAGCAGGCATCCTCCTTTTGTTCTTGGACCTTAGGAGAGATGCTTTCAGTCTTTCACCATTGGAGAAAATATACATATATAATAAATATTTTCACCATTGGAGAAAATAATTTTATATATATATAAATAAATGAAATATAGTTTGTGTGTGTATATATACATATGCATATATATTTAAATGCATGTATTCATATATATGTGTATATACACACATAAATAAGTGAAATACATATGTGCAAATATATAGTATTTGTTTAATAAAATGAGAGTTGTTTTAGTTTTCCGCCATTATATGTAAAGGTGCTATGAACATTCATGTAGTAGTGTTTATATAAACTTATGCTTTCTTTTCTCTTGGTAAATACCTAGACATGGAATAGCTGGATGATATAGTAGGTATATTTTAACATTTAATAAGTTGACAAATAATTGTTTTCTATTTTCCATGTCTACCAGCCATGTGAGAGTTTTAGTTCCTCCACATACTTGTCAATACTTGATATGATCAGTCTTTTAATTTTAGCCATTCTAATAGGTACTTAGCAGTATTGTATGGTTTTTAATTAATACTGATCATCTTTTCATGTGCTCCCATGCTATCTGTTTATCTACTCTGGTGAAGTGTTAGCTCAAGTATTTTGCTAATTTTTAAAAATTGGGTTGTCTCAATATTGCTTTGAAGGTTGTTTATACATTCTAGTTATAAATATTTTATCAAAATATGCTTTGTAAATAATTCTCCCCATTGTGTCACATTTCTTTGCATTCTGTTATCAATGTCTTTCAAAGAGAAAAAGTTTTAATTTTGATGAAGTCCAATTTATGAATTTTATCTTTTATGGACTCTGCTTTTAATGTCCCATCTAAACAAATGCTGAACCCATTCAAAATTATATATTATATGCTTTTCTGTATATATATAATCATTTGATTAAAAGTTTAAAAGAGTCAATTCTTAATTATGAATCTTCTAGTAAGGCAAAATAACTGACTTTATGACAAATAATTTTATTGTATTTTCAAGACTATATTGCTGACAACAGTGAAAGATAGTTGTAATGTATATAATTAATACCATAAGCAAATAGTTCTTAAGGTCATGAATAGACTTTTCTCATTCCACTCTAATATTCTTCTTATCAATAACTAGTTATAGGAGCCAAGTGTCAATATTATGTTGTATGGAATAATATGTGGTAAAAATTAACAAAATCAGTATTTCAAAATTATGAGTGATTATCTGAAAGCAGCATATTTTCTATCTTTAACATTTCAATTGAGTTTTTCACAGTGCCATTTTCAAATAAACTCAGAATTCTAAGAATATTACCTGTGTTGTCTTTATATTGGGATTTGGTTTTTCTACAGTTTTCAGTTCAGGTGGAATAAGCACGGTTTTGGACACAGCCATTCTGCTTTGATTTGCACCAGTATATCCTTTCACTGAAGTTGCTTTCATTGTAGCAAAAAAGCTAATAGACTTCTTTGGTTGTGTGGCATTGTTCCTATATAAGAAAAATAAAATATAATGCAAAGGATTCAAGATTGAAAAGAAAAATCAACCAACAATAAAAAAGTAGATTTCCTGTAAAAACATGTGAACAATCTAAACATATAACAAGAAATAATGATAACTATTTGAAATCTTATTATGTATAAACATAGTTCTAAAGAGTTGGCATATATTACATCACTTTCTCCTCATAATTCCAAGAGGTTGCTATTAATATTATTTTATATAAAGCCACAGAGGCTTTAAGGGGAAACATTCCTACAATGGTTGAGATTTGAACCCAGGCAGTCAGATCCTAAGTCCATGCTGACTTCTCTGGGTCTTAGTTTCTTTGTCTGCAAAATGAGGATAATAACAGTACTTAACTCATCGGTTATTATGAGGATTAAATAAATTAATTTTTGTATTATGGTTAGTAAGTCCCTGGCACATAGTAAGCACACATGAGTGTGTAGTGCAGTTACATAGGCAGATTTAAACATGATTAATAAAGCCTGAGAAAGAATAGCGTGTTCCTTCCTGAATTATATACTACTTTTTTTTTTTTTTTTTTTTTTTGAGACGGAGTCTCGCTCTGTCACCCTGGCTGGAGTGCAGTGGCGTGATCTCGGCTCACCGCAACCTCCGCCTCCTGGGTTCAAGCGATTCTTCTGCCTCAGCCTCCCAAGTAGCTGGGACTACAGGTGTGCACCACCATGCCTGGCTAATTTTTGCATTTTTAGTAGAGAGGGGTTTCACCATGTTGGCCAGGCTAGTCTCAAACTCCTGGCCTCGTGATCGTCTCACCTCAGCCTCCCAAAGTGCTAGCATTACAGGCATGAGCCACTGTGCCCTTTTTAATAAGAAGAGAAGTTACAATCAAAATATTTATATCCATGAAAAAATATTTTTTCACTTTTGGATTTACCCTGTAAATTCCTTAAGACAAGGACTTACCTTATCATTTTATTCCTTCTAGTACTCTGTAATATGGATTTCTATAAAATGGGGATGAGCCTCCCTGAGATTATAAAAATATGCTTCCAAAGAAAACATTTTAAATAATACATTTACTTTTTAAATCATAAAAAATCTGACAAGAATAAAATATTTTTAAATAACGATCAATCCAGTTTTCATATTTTATTTTTCTTCATAGCATTTATCGTTACTTGACATTTTGTTGTTGTCCACCCCTCTGCAGAATGTAAGCATGTTTAGGGCAGGAACTTTGTCTTGTTCACTGCTGTATCCCTAGCACCCAGCACAGTGCCTAGTATACCATGGACACTTAATAAATATTTTTAAAATATATGAGTAAATGAATTCCATTTGTGCACTATTTCAAATTTACATTTAAGTATCCTACCCTATTCTCCTTCTATCTCTAAGGACTTAACCCCCAACATCTCTAAAAAAAAATAAACTATCATTCATGTAAAAATTCCTTCAAATTATTTCACCACCTCCTTTAAATTCTTCTCCCACCTCCTACAAACTCACTTATCTCTTTTTTCCTTTCTCAGTAAAAGAGTTGCCATTCTTATCTAAGACTAACCTTTTATGTGAACTCTGAAACTTGTCACTGGTGTCTCAGGGACTCTTCTCCATCCATAATTCCAGGTCTCCTATCTTATTTTTTTCTCTTTTCCCTGTGAGCATAAAATTATGCCCCAATCATCTCCTCAACTTGAAAATCCTTCCTTTAACTATGTCTTCCTCTACCTATTACTATATCTCTCCTTCCTTTCAGTCCAACTTCTTAAAATGTTAGTCAGTAATACTGCCTACTACATGACTTCTCTTTTTGCTCTGTAACTACAATGTAGCTTTACTCTTTCTTCTTCAGCTGACCATTCCTTCTTAAAATTGACTTCTCAGATTCGTTTCTGTCATACCACAGACTATTCTTCAACCTCCTTGAGACCTCTAATCACCTGACCTTTCCATTTCTACCAAATAATCAGAACATTTTAGATTTCTCTTTTCTCTATTAATCTTTAATCCACAATTTATCAATTGAGTCACTCTTTTGCCATTACCTTCAACTCTCTCATTCTCTTCCTCCTTAACATTTTGCCCTACTATCCTTACAAAATCCGGTCCTCCCATTCCCTTTTCCTTTGAGCTCCCCTTTTACAGATTACGTTTAGGCTCAAATCTTAGTTACCTGATTTCTCACTATATACACTATCCCTGAGTAAATTCCATGGTTTCAATGACCACAAGTACTCTACTTTCTTATGGCATTTACCTTTCTCTTCTACCATCCTCTGAAGATTTCATATCCTAAGTCACTGGCTCTATCTCTAATAGCTACTTCTGGCATAATTCTTGAGCATTTCAATATCCATGAAGGTAATCCTTCAAATACCCTGACCTCTTAGCTCCTTGAAATCTTCTCACATAAATGATTTTACCTGCCTTGCTACTTCAGACACTTACTCCCATGGTCATACATGTGGCTTTTGTTTTTAGAAGGTCAATCAGCATTTCCTATTTTTCCAGCTTAAATACCCTCTCAAACTCCAATCCTTCAACAATCCTTCGACCCTATTATGACCTTCAGGCCCTTGATTCTACCATGCTTTATTCCTCTACCATCTTTCTCATGCCATCTCTTCCCTCTTGAGGTTATGGTTAGTTACTTTAATTGATAGTTAATTATTATAATCATTCTTTACTTACATTCTTACCATACCTTTCCCTTCATTTCAGCATACTTGCTGGCAAAACCAAAATCATGGTTATTTCCAATTATCCTCTTACTTTGAGCCTATACCTGTATATTAACCATGTTTATAGTGTCTGTAAATTTGATACTGTAACATCTGACCTACATGCATGGGTCAAACACATGCCCTATTCTGGACAACCTGATGCTATGCCTAAGTTACCTTGTCTTGGCCTCTGGCCTCTCTTCTTGCCTCCCATCCTCTTTACTAAGAGGAGTCCTCCTCCCAGGCATGCACTTGTCAAATGCAAACTAAGCAATCCAGAATCCACACCATTATGGGGTTTTTACACTCTGTGCCACTATACCTGTCCTAATCACCCCATGGCCAAATCTCAGACCAAGAGGGGCAGCTCCTGTGCCCCAGAACCTACTGAGATTATTCAAAGTAGCTAATCTTAAAGTTGTCTATGCTGCTTCACTCATTACTTCTGGGTAGTCCCCTGTGGTGTGGTGGGCCCCCTCTTCCTTGGAACTGTGAATAATAAACTATTTTTTCAATGGCAATGACTTCCTATCTATTAGACTAACTATACCCTAAATTTTGCAATAATACACTATATTTTAACTCAACCTGTGCAGCTAAATGAAACTGGAAGAAAAATACCCAACTATGATGACAGGTCTCACTTTAAATTATGGGTCATTAACTTAATCAAGGTCCTTAATGTGCCAGCAATCTGTATTTTCTTGGTCCATTTTTTACTACACTCTTTAAGGCTATCTTATACCTTCTCTTTCTTCAAATATGAAAACCTCCTCTCACATTTTCACTCTCAGCCATCTGAATGAGAAAACTGAAGCAATCTGGTAACTTCTTCATACTCCCACTGTCACATCTATGCACTTGCCTATATCTGTGCCTATATTCTCTATTTTTTTCTTGTTACTCTGAATGAATTCTCTATTATTGCAGTTCAGGTCACTCCCTCTACATGCATACCAGATTCCATTTTTCTGCCTATTCACGGACATTGCTCTAGCAGTTCTCTCTCTGCATCATAAGTTTTTCTCTCTCTATTGGATAATTACCTTCAGCATGTAAACAAGCTGTTATTTCTCCCATCTTAAACAAACAAGAAACTTCTCTTTACTTCACCTGTCTTTCCAGCTATCAGTCATTCATGTTTCCTTTAATTACAGCAAACCCTTGGGAAAAATCTCCTATTTATTGTTGCCACCTCTCTCTACACACACACACACACACACACACACACACACACACAGTCTCTCTTGAATAGAGTCTGATCAGGTTTTTGCCCTTATCATTCCATCAAAAGGATTATTACCAAGGTCCAATCACCTCCACAATACTAACTCTAATAATGGTCATTTCAATGTTTTCATCTTTCTTATCTGCAGCATTTGACCCAGCTGTTTATTCTTTTCTCTTTTTTTTTTTTTAACTTGGATCGTAGGACACTCTCTTTGCTTGGTTTTCCTCCTCCCTTTTCTGTGGCAATCATCCTTGCACTTCTCTTTTCTATTTACATTCATAGTCTGGTTAACTCATCTAATGCCATGATTTAAAAGTAATCTATGTGAAAATTATTCCCAAATATATGTATATCTCTAACTAGACCTCTCCTCTGTATATCTGCTTGCCTACTTGACATCACTAATGGAAACTTAGCATGTCCAAAACTAAGTTCCTGACATTAACCTCCACCACCACCACCACCACATCACCCTCACCCCATCCAGCAAATCCACTCCTCTTGCACTCTTCCCTATTTTTGTTAAGGGCAACTTTACTCTTCCAGTTGCTTGGGTGAAAAAAAATTTCAAAATACATCTGGAATCCATTCATTTGTCACCACTCTTGTTGCTACCATCCTGGTCCAAACACTATCCTATCTCTCTTGGATTATTGCAATAGCCTTTCGCTTCATCTTCCTACTTAACCTTGATCCCCTAAAGTTTATCCTCCACGTAACAACCACAATGACCTCTTTAAAACACATGTAAGGGTTGGGCACAGTGACTTATGCCTGTAATCCCAGTACTTTGGAAGATTGAGACAGGAGGATTGCTTGAGGTCTGGAGTTCAAGGTTACAGTGAGCTATGATTATGCCACTGTACTCCAGCCTGGGCAACAGAGCGAGACCCTGTCTCAAACAAATATAGAACAATAAGATAAAATAAAATAAAAATAAATAAAATAAAATATGACTACTCGAAATCCTTCATTTACCATCCCATTCAGAATAAAAGCCTAAGTCCTTACTATGACTTAAAAAATCTTACATGCATACAGCTAGGCCTCTGATTTCATCTTTCGTGATCTCTTCCTTGTTTACTCTGCTTCAGCCATAGTGGCATCCTTTATATTCATGCTGGGCACATTTTCATATCAAAGACTTGAATTTATGTTTCCTTTGTCTGAAATGCTCTTTCTCATACAGGTACATACTTAGCATCCTCACTTTCTTTAGGTCTTTAATGAAAAACTACCCTCTCCCCACCTGCCCTAATCACTCCATGGCCAAATGCCAGAACAACAGGCGCAGCCCCTGTGCCTCAGGCCTTCCGTGGCTTCCCTTTCTAAAATGTCAAAATTCTCTCTCAAGTACTTCATATCTTCTTGCCTTATTTTTCTCCTTAGAACTTTTTACTATCTAACATAGTATATCTTTAACTTATTTATCTTGTGAATCAGTTATTGCTTCCCCTTGGAATCTAAGTTCCATGAGGGTAGGAACTTTAGGCTCTTTCATTCCCTGTTGTATCCCTAATGCTTACAACAGTACCCAAGTGTGGAAAAAACATAAACTGTTTTTGCTCTGCTCTCAAACCACAACAATCAATACAGATTTCTGTGGCCAAATGCGTAGGGTTTCTCCCCACACACCAACTAAACAATCAGTTCCGCAGTGGATACCATCTGGTTGTCCTCCAATTCAATTCCAGCACTATCTACCTGAAGATAGTCTCAGATCCTACAGGCAGAGAGCTCAGTCCCATAAGACTACCTCTGACTTCGAATGGCAGTTGAAAAAATAGGTTGTGGCCTGTTTCTGAATGACCTGCTATAAAATCAGGGTTCCCACAACCCTCTCCTTGGGTTCAGTTAATTTGCTAGAGTGGATCACAGAACTCAGAGAAACACTTACTTTTACTGGTTTATTGTAAAGTATATTACAATGGATACAGATTAAAAGATGCATACGGCAAGGGAAGAGCCAGTAGCTTACATGCTCTCTCTGGGCACACCACCTTTTAGAAACCTCCATGTGCCCAGCTATCCAGAAGCTCTCTGAACCCAGTCCTTTTGGTTTTTATGGAGGTTTTATTAAGAAGGCATGATTGATGAAACTGTTGGCTATTGGTGATCAACTTAACATTCAGCCTCTTTCCCCTCCCTGAAGGTTTGGTTGGTGAGGCTGAAGGTCCCAACCCTATAATCATGCTTTTGTCTTCCAGATGACTAACCCCCATCCTCAAGCTACCTAGAAGGTACTAGTCATGGTCAACTCATTAGCATACAAAAAGACAACACTCTGGAGATTCTAAGGACCATTTGATCAAAGACCAAATAAATATTTATTTTACAATATCACAGTACATAATACAGTGGCTGTTTAATACATTTATTGAAACAATGAATAATCTCCAAATCATTATATCCAACTCAAAATATTGCCTTACTCTTCATACTTGTGAAGGAAGGAGTCAAGCTGAGAAATGCTCAGGATAAACCTGCCTTCCATTCTATTCAAAGTCATCCCTCTGCTCATAGATGCATATTTTTTTCTTTTCTTTGAGACAGAGTCTCACTCTGTTGCCCAGGCTGGAGTGCAGTGGCTCAATCTTGGTTCACTGCAACCTCTGCCTCCAAGGTTCAAGTGATTCTCCTGCCTCAGTCTCCCAAGTAGCTGGGATTATATGCCTGTATCACCACACCTAGCTAATTTTTGTATTTTCAGTGGAGACAGGTTTTTGGCACATTGGTCAGGCTAGTCTCAAACTGCTGACCTCAGGATCTGCCCGCCTTGGTCTCCCAAAGTGCTGGGATTACAGGCATAAGCCAGCGTTCCCAGCTGATAGATGCATTTTCTGATTGCCTCCTTTGGAAAGGCTTATCAGAAACTCAAAAGAATGAAGCCGGGCACGGTGGCTCACACATGTAAACCCAGCACTTTGGGAACAGATTACTTGAGGTCAGGAGTTTCAGACCAGCCTGGCCAACATGTGGAAACCTCATGTCTACAAAAAAAAAAAATTAGCTGAGTGTGGTGGGACACACCTGTAATCCCAGCTACTCGGGAGGCTGAGGCAGGAGAATCGCTTGAATCTGGGAGGTAGAGGCTATAGTGAGCCAAGATCACACCATTGCACTCCAGCTTGGGGCGACAGAGTGCGACTGTGTCTCAAAAAAAAAAAGAAACTCAAAAGACTGCAGCCATTTGTCTCTCACCTACCTGTGACCTGGAAGCCTTCTCTCTGCTTCAAGTTGTTCCACCTTTCTGGATGGAACCAATGTACTTCTTACATATACTGAATGATGTCTCATGCCTCCCGACAATGTATAAAACCAAGCTGTGCTCCAACCATCTTCGGCACATGTTTCCAGGACTTCCTGAGGCTGAGTCACGGGCGCGCATGCTCAACTTTGGCCAGATAAACTTTCTAAATTAACTGAGACCTGTCTCAAATTTTTGGGGTTCACATTTTGGTAACCACGAAGGGATTCTGAACGTGGATGCCCCTGACCTTTGACAAATTTCCTATCAGTGCTTGTTAACAGCATGAGCTAACTTTATGGCTCAAACCAATAGGACCATTTGCTGAGGTCTGAGAGCACCCCCTTCAGAGAATCCCTGATCTCCCAAAATTTGCTAGGGATCTAAAGTTTATTTTGCTGTACAACTCCCTTTTTTTTGGAGTTTTACTTGCTTCCAACACAAGAATGGCAAGTTTTTCCTGCTTCCGTGACGATGGAAGGCAGGTAACTCCTTTATGGAGTTTGAGCTTGCTTCCAACAGGGAAAATGAGGGTTTTTTGGTTTGTTTGTTTTTTCTTTCCTGCTTCTAAGATGGTAGAAAGCAGTCTTCAGCCTGAGACCCATCCCTAGGTAAGTAACTGACTTGGGGTTTTCCTTGGCTCAAGTTAAGATTAACAACCAGCTGGTCTTAATTTCTCCTCACAATTAGAGTGCTCAGTGATGATGTTGTTGGGGATTTTTGTTGTTGTTTGTTCTGGTTTGAAGTTGCTGTTTAAGGATCCTAATTCTAGTTCAAAGATGCATTCTACAAAGTCTTTATTGCTTTTTCTCCCAAATTTAATCTTAATTCGGTTTGTCTGTGTGCATTTGGATGAGGAACTGAACTGTTGTTTTCATATGTTAATGAGAGACTGAGTTTTCTCAGCTCCAAAGGAAAAGGGCATTTGCTCCTCCAAACTGAAAGGTGCCCCTGGGTACCCTGGGACCTCGTGGAAGTATCTGGGCAATTGTGGCCCTGCAGGGAAATCCCCAACAAAAATTAATTTTAAAAATGGCTTGCCCAGGAAATATATATAAGGGCTAATGACCCAGCATTTTGAGCCCTCTCTGAGGTCACAGACCTCTGGAGAGAGAAACTGAGACACAGTAAGAAGGTGGAGGCCGGGCGCAGTGGCTCATGCCTGTAATTCCAGCACTTTGGGAGGCCGAGGCGGGCGAATCACGAGGTCAGGAAATCGAGACCATCCTGGCTAACATGGTGAAACCCCATCTCTACTAAAAATACAAAAAATTAGCCAGGCGTGGTGGCGGGCACCTGTAGTCCCAGCTACTCGGGAGGCTGAGGCAGGAGAACGGTGTGAACCCGGAGCAGGCGGAGGTTGCAGTGAGCCTAGGTCGCGCCACTGCACTCCAGCCTGGGCAACAGAGCAAAACTCCGTCTCAAAAAAAAAAAAAAAAGAAGGTGGAAACGACTCAGTGGTGACACACAGTGGAGTCCTGTCCACAAACGGCACATATCAATCCACCACACAAAAACCCCAGGCCACAGCTCTGTTCCTCCTTTAGAAAAAAAATAAAAATAAAAAAATAAAAAGTGGGAAATAAATAATCTAAGAGTGAGGTGAAAACAAGCAGAATGCATCTTTCTAGCATTCCATAGGTTTCACGGCACCTCTACTTGCCAAAGTATACGTAAAATGGAAATAATATGGTCTTTGTGCACATTTACAAGGTCAACCTGCAAACTATAGAGTTCCTAAGTCCTCTTTTTCTCTATTTTTTTTCCTTTTCTGCCTGCTCTAAATCTGCTGTTACTTTTCTGTTAAGATAAAAACCAGTTTTGATCCAACAAGTTCTTTTAGCAAGCCAGTGAATTTGTATTTATCTCGTGGCTAAAAGTTCTGAAGTAAAAGCTATAGAATCTGTGTGTATGTGCATTAAAAAGACTTTTATAATTTCTACAATTTTATGTTTAATGGCAATTAAATCCGTTTTCATTTCCTTCTAGCACATAAAACTTTTTCTCTCCGCATCTTATAATGTAAATTTTGCTATCTGACTTTCACCTGAGTTGTTTCCTTTAACATGCACATTTAAGGCTATTTAGCTGACAACTGCCCAGGGTTGTGAAACAGGTTATCAAGAATCAGAAAATCTAAGATAGGAAAAAATGAAAAAAAAAAGGTTTTTATGAACCTATAAAATGTCCTTCTATTTGCATGCCTAATATGTCTATGTATCTATGTGTTGTGTACACAATGTTTCACTACTAAAAATATATAAAAGAGCTCTAATTAATTGGCTTAAAAATAAAAGCACTTAAATCAGGTACTAAAAAGGAAAAGACTAGTCAAATGCTTTTTCGAGTTTATGTAACTTAAGTAAAATCTTTAATAAATAAGCTAGCTTTAAAATTACTGGTAAAGTAACATTAGAAATGTCCTAAGAATTGCCAGCATACATTTTGTTTGCATTTATTAATCAAGCAATTTCATACTTATCCCTGACAAATACTATAAGGTGTCAAAATTTGGCAAAGGGTTTATAAAACCATAAACCCAGCCCAAGACAGAATGACCTTTGCTCTGTAATCTTTAATAAATAAGACATTAATATTGGCTTAATGAAAATAGCTCATCTTGAATTATTTAGTAAGATTACCATAACTTCTAAACCTGTGGCTTTAGGCATTCTAGTCCACAGGCAATAAGGAGGTTTGTTTTGGGAAAGAACTGTTATCATCTTTGTTTCAAAGCTAAACTATAAACTAAGTACCTCCCAAAGTTACTTTTGCCTGTGCCCAGGAATGAACAAGGACAGCTTGGAGGTTAGAAGCAAGATGGAGTCAGTTAGGTCATATCTTTTTCACTGTCTCAGTTATAATTTTGCAATGGCGGTTTCATAACTTTAAATCATGACTACTGCAGTTTTCATAGGTCATATAGGTAAACAATTAAAATAATTAGGTAAATGTAATGGAATAAATACTTGTAGACAAACTTGTCATAATTTAGAATCTAAGGTTATATTAAATTCAATAATTGATATTTCATTATTTATTTTCCAAAAAGTTTATATTGTAGAAAAACATTCTTGGTAAAAATAACAAAGAGTGTATCATTTTAAAAAAACGGTGAACAAGTTTTGTCTAATTCAAAGTTTATTTAAAGGTTATATATAAAACAAGGTAAAAGGAACCAGGAAATAACAGAAATGTAAAGAAAGTTATAAAAATAAACAGGTTTTTGTGTGGTAAGAAAGCTTAAAGAGAATAATTTTATATGAGAAAAAAAATCTTTGGTCAAGCACAGTGGCTCACGTCTGTAATCCAACACTTTGGGAGGCTGAGGTGGGCAGGTCACCTGAGGCCAGGAGTTTGAGACCAGTCTGGCCAACATGGCGAAGCCCCATCTCTACTAAAAATACAAAAATTAGCTAGGTGTGGTGGTGTGCACCTATAATCCATCTACCTGGGAGACTGAGAAAGGAGAATTGCTTAAACCCAGGAGGTGGAGAATGGGCAACAGAGCAAGACTCTGTCTAAAAAAAAAAAAAAAAAAAGAATCCCATATGGTAAATTTAGTCCTAAAATAAAATGACTGGTTGTTTAAGAAGGAGGGATGTTCAGGACAAACCAGAAAGTTCAAGCATATCATGAATAATCAGTGTAAATCACAAAAGAGGATTTATTTTAAAAAAAACTTTTATATGATCAAGTTGTCATATTGTTTTGCTTTGCTTACAAATAAAGAAATTGAGATTAAATTTTTTTTAAATTAAGGTTATTACATCCATGTATCTTTCTGTATCTACTCCTAAAGTACTTGTGACATTAAGTTACAGGGTTTTGACTCCTGGGTCTAAAAGGACAAGTCCTGCTAAATCTTAACACTGACAGCAATTAAAGCCTTATCTCCAGGCCCCATAGAAGATGCTAATCAAAATAAACGGCATCCCTGAGACACAGGGCCAATAATTAAAGCCATTCAACTCTTCAAGGTCCCGTGACTGTTGTGAAAGAGGTTGGAATGTGGGATTTTAAGGGCTGCTTTTAAGAGATAAAATAAGTTCAGTTTCTCTATAATCATTACTGTCAAAGGCACACTGATGCAAGACCAGTATATGGGCCCCTGTGTCAGATTAACAGGGTTTTCTTGAAGCATTAACCAACTCCTTAATAAAGGTTATAAAAGGCATTTGGAAGCTGTATTGCTTTATGTTATGGTCAAAATTAAAATTTTATAGTTTATAAAATTTTGAAAAATAAATTTAATTGGCTTCATGCTGTTTTAATTAGGGCTTGTTCAGAAAATTATGTCTCCTTTCTCAAAGAATGAAGATTTTTGCCTTTTTTTTTTAATTCCTTATCACTTTGGTTAAATGAATGACTTATTTTACAATGACCTATGATCCTATTTCATGGTATCAAGTCTTTTAAACCTTTGATATTTTACAAACTTTCCAAAATCAATTTATAAATTGTCTTTTCCTGACCTAATTAATCCTTTAAGATATTAGGTCCCCTAAAGTCCAAAAATGACATAATTTGGCTTATTTGGTATAAAAATTAGACAGGGAGCATTGTCAAATATGAAATGATGTTTGGTTTTCTTTGGGCTATATTTGTATAAATGTTATTGGTATGTGTTCCAAAATGATGGGAAACTCCTGTAATTCTGATTTAACTTAGTGAACGTTATCAGTAATTGTAATTGTTGTTAAATTATTGTGTGCCACAGAGGTAACACATTTGTCAATTGTGTCTTTGATTATGGCTGCCCTAAAATTTTTGTCATCCATGGACAATTGTTGTCTTGTTTTGGTCCTTTTTAGGTGGTTCTATAATCAACTATGGAACTCAAACAGGTGTTCTTAAATGCAAGTTTCTGATAACTTTGCAGATTGTGACATTAGAATAGAGGGGGAAAAAAACTTGCAGGATTCTCATGGAGAGCTGAAGTGTTCATGACTATCAAGCAGAACAGGAGTTAACTCCATAAACTGAACTGACAAGAGACTAAAGCAATCTTTTTAACTCTTGCTTTAAATGTTGCTTATCCTTTGTTTTTTAGTCTTCAAACTTTTCTTTTGAGCTATTGACAGCTTTTAAGAGTTTAGTATACTCCTATGAACAAAATTTTGAGCATATTTGTTTTTCACTACCTGATTTCTCCAGAATTTGGAAATATTTGTGAGTATTCTTAACTTATGGTAATACAGTCATTTGCACAAGTGCAATAAGAATCTGTTTTAATTCGTAACAGGATACAATTGGAGAAATTGGTTATTTTACCAAGGCTTTGACTGAAATAGTGTGCTTTCCTTTAAGGAATCAAACGTGACTTATGGAACCAATAAAGCCCTTGGAAAAACTGGCCTCATATTTTGTGTACATAGTCCCTGTACAGGGTTTCTGACCTGTGTTAAGTGAAGAATGTCACTTTCTGACAGGCCCAGAAGCCTCAGGTTTATCTTGGAACCTCAAGAGGAGAGGAAATTCACCCAACTCATAGGTATTTGATTGCATAAATCCATGGCTGGGCTTGGCTTTAAAAGAGTCTTATTTGAGATTTCTCCTATGAAAGTCCAAAAAAGCCAGTTTAAAAGCCTATGTAAAAATTTTCTTGTTGCATTGTATAGAAATAATTAGGCCAAGTATAATAAAGCAAACCAGTCGTACCATGATTTGTCTTTAGTAAAAATGGGAAACTGGAGAGAAAAATTATGTTTCAAAACTATAGTAGACCTGTTGTTAGATTCTAGTCTTTCCTAATGTTTTCTCAATGTTTATTATTTTCTACAGTTTGGACCAAATTCTAATTTTTCTTGGCCACAAGTCTTCAAAATAATGTTTTCAATTTTCTTCCTTCTTTTTTGCCCCATTTTTCCTAAGTTGGAGTCACTGAAAACTAAGCTGTGCTTTCTTAAAGCCCTGTGAACTGAAGCCAGACAACTTAAACTTCAGAAGAAAATAAACAGCAACCTATTTACATACATAAGCCACTTTCATACCTACTTACTGATGTATGGACTTCAGAGTAATATAGCCTATATCAATTTTTCCAGGGTTGTTCTTTTGTTGTTTTTCTCCCTTCCTCCCGTTTCCTCTTCATAGGACATGAGACTTCACAATCTGCTAAAAATGAGCTTTGGGACCTAACCCATCTAGGAACAAACTGTCCTAGCCATGAGAGATCAGATAAAACCTGAGACCAGAGACTCATTTTCTTCTAAAATGTTTTCTCCAAAAGATTTTTTTAAAAAGAAATGGGGGAAATGTAAAAGGAAAATATTTTGGGCCCCAAAATTACTAAGCTAAGGGAGAATTCAAGCTGGGAACTGCTCAAGACAAACCTGCCTCCCATTCTATTAAATGTCATCCCTCTGCTCACTGATATAGATGCATATTCTGATTGCTTCCTTTGGAAAGGCTTATCAGAAACTCAAAAGAATGCAACCATTTGTCTCTCACCTACCTGTGACCTGGAAGCCCCCTCCCTGCTTCAAGTTGTCCCTGCCTTTCTGGATGGAACCAATGTACTTCTTACATATATTGATTGATGTCTCATGCCTCCCTAAAATGTATAAAACAAAGACATGCCCTGACCACCTTAGGCACATGTTGCCAGTACTTCCTGGGGCTGTATCACGGGTACACATCCTGAACCTTGGCACAATAAACTTTCTAAATTAACTGAGACCTGTCTCAAATTCTCAGGTTCACATACTCATGTGAATAATTGACTACTAGATAGCTCTAGTCTAACAGCCATCTCAAAGTGAATATATGCACAATAAAATAATCTCACATTAACTCATAAAACAGTTCTTCCTCTATTTAAGGAGAACAAACACCTACCTTGGAAATTGGAGACAAGTTGAAAACAGAGAATCACAACCTACTGGGAGCAGAAAATGCCACTGAAGCCAGCAACTTAAAAGACAACTAGCTAACTACTGAAGACTTGAGTGTAGACTAGCTTGAGAGAGAAAATATTCTGGGGATCCCATGGGGGGCCCCTACACTTTCATGAGCTTTACCTCCATGTGCCCACAAAGTTCTCAGGATAAAGATTAAAGAAAAATTTCCTCATGGTTCTAGCAGGTGGATAGGAAGTAATCTTTCTAAAATATACCTAGAATGTTATGTTCTCCTTAACAAACACCTGCCCTCAAGGACAACTACTTTACCAGAGCCTAACTAGAGTTTTATCAGGGCCTGACTGACATGTGGGAATGGAAATACCCAACTCTGGCCCCCAACAGCCATCTTTTCACCCCAAAGAAAAAATGTACTGAAAAGCACTTGTCAAGTCTCATCCCAGGGACAAGGGCCCATTAAAACACTAAGAGCTAATCATAGGATTGTCCAACCCTTCCCCTCCCCCTACATCTTCCCACTGATAGGAATAGGAAGCAGGGAAATTCTGGGCAGAAGAAGGCAGGTCCCTGGCGAGGGCCCCACCCTCAAGCCTGGAATCATGGCCCAAAGTGAGAACATACATCTGTGTTTTCCTGCTTGAATGCTGCCTTTTCAAAACCACCCATGGCCCGCCCTGTCCCACTATCCTGCACCCATAAAAACCCCAGGCTCAGCCAGCAGAAAGAGAAGCAGCTGGACGTTGGAAGTCAGAGAGAAGTGGCTTGACTTCAGAGGGACAGCTTGATGGTGTAGCTTTGAAGAGGAATCTGGCTGGGGACGGCTGAACTTCAGGGGAAGATTACCTTCCCGTTCTGTCCCCTTTTCAGCTCCTCTTCCCACTGAGAACCACTTTCACACAATAAAATCCCCTGCATTTACCAGCTTCAACTCTCATGCGACCTCATTCCTCCTGGACACTGGACAAGAACTCAGGTGCCACGAGTGTGGGTGCAAAAGGCTGTCATGCTGACCCTCCACTGAGCTGTTAACACTTACGCTGTCTGTAGATGGCAAAGCTAAAAGGGCACTATAACACCTCCTCTGGGGTTTTGGGCATCGTGGATACCCTCCCCTAGATACTGTTGGGGAGTGAGTATGTAGTTTGCTCTTGAAGGTGCCCAAAAGCACTCACCCTGGCTCCTGCACCCACTCACCTGTGCTCCACCTCCCTCAAGGGGTGGAGCAGCGAGTGAGTGGAGTTCACCCCTGCCAGCGCCTGCACACTCCAGTTCCCACCTGTGAAGGAGTCACTATCCTGCTTCACCACCATATCTACAGGGCTCCTGTATAATAATTAGATTACAATGGAAAGAACTGCAAGGCTGAATCTATTTAAGGAGTCCCTAGGGAAACTGTAAAAGACAGAAACAAGGACAGTAGAGGAAACTGATGCCTTACACATTTACAACTAAACAGTAAACACAGCCTAATTCCTAGCCACACAAACATAAAACACACTATCAGCCTATTTAATCTCAGTTCATATTATCTATACAATATGTTCAGCTTTCAACAAAAAATTGTAAGGCATATCAAAAGGTACAAAAACAGTGTGAAGAGACAAAGCAAGTATCAGAACCACACTTGGATATGACAGATATTTTGTAACTGTAAGACTATGAATTTAAAATAATTGTGATTAATATGCTAAGGGTTCTAATGGAAAAAATGGATAACATTCAAGAACAGGTGAGTAATGTAAGCAGAGATAAAAACATTAAATAAGAATCAAAAGGAAACAAGAACATGTAAGGAATATAAAGGCACTGGACAGAGAAATAGGATGAAGAGGTGAACAATCAGCAGTTATTTTTATTGCAATGGGAGACTTGTCCAGTATTGTAAAGCTAAAGGCAAGAATCTAACACAGGAAAAGAGAAAGTGGAAAACTGACAAATATTTGCTTCATGAGATCCTTTCCAAGGTCAGGATTAAGTCCTAAAAGAAGGAAGATGAGAAATAACAAATTAGGCCAAACCAAAAGGTTGTAAACTTGTCTGTGAAACTTCGTTTTAATTAGGTAACATGGCTACTGCAAAAAGTGAAGGTTATACTACTTCCCGTCTCCCACCCCATTCTTTCCTTAATAGATGTTATGAAATTGTCAACATTTAAGAAACTCCCAAAGGAATTTTTCTTAGACATCATACTATGAGAGTTGGACAGTTTTTGTATTTTTCAATTTAATAAACTCAATTTAATTTTACATTAAAATTTCTATACCTTAAGGTGAAAACAAAAACCATACAAGATAAGCAGTAACCAATGTTACTGAAGTAAACACTCATTCATTCAGCAAATATTTATTCAGCACCTTCTTCAATCTAGGCAATGGATACAGTAGTGAACAAAACAAAAATCTCTGCCTTTTTGGAGTACTATCCTTAGGTGAAGATGGATGAATAAGCAGGTACACAATAAACTTGTAGAAATTTTTTTTTTTTTTTTTTTGAGGTGGAATCTCACTCTGTCGACCAGGCTGGAGTACAATGGCAGTGATCACGGATCACTACAACATCACCTTCCCGGTCTCAAGTAATCTTCCCACCTCAGCCTCCAAAGTAGCTAGGACTACAGGCACATGCCACCACGCCTGGCTCAATGTTTTGTAGAAATGGGGGTTTGCCATGTTGCCCAGGCTGGTTGTGGACTCCCAAGCTCAAGTAATTTGCCCACTGGTTGTGAACTCCCAAGCTCAAGCAATTTGCCCACTTCAGCCTCATAAAGTGGTGGAATTACAGGCATGAGCCACTGTGCCTGGCAGGAATAAATTTTATGGAAAAATTCAAGCAAAGGTGAGGGACTGAAGAGCTCCAAAGGTGAAGTATTATTACTTTATATGGGGTGGTAAAGGACTCTTTGACACAGTTACCTAAAGGAGGTGAGTCATGAGGTTATCTGGGGGCACAATATTCCAAAAAACTGCATATGCACAGGCTCCAAAGGGGGAATATAGTGTGTCTGATGTGTTGTGGGACAACGTGGGATGTAATTAGGCAAGAGGAAGAGTCTATAGTGAGATCCTGTGGGGCCCTGTAAAGAGTTTTACTGAGTGAAATGGAAAAAACTTGAGAAATGTTTTGAGCAGAACCACATTGATTACTACCTGGAGGGTGTTGGCAAGGAGACTATTTAGGTGGGTATCACAATGTAACACAGTGATTTACATGGGAGTGGTAGTCTGGATTTATTTGGCAGGTAGAAATGGTAAAATTTGCTTATAGAGTGAGGTATAAGATAGAAGTCAAGGGTAATCCCAAGGTTTTTCCCCTGAGTAAGTGAAAGAGTGGAATTTGCCATTTACTAAAATGAGAAAGATTGCAGTTAATTAGAAAAGACAGAAAATATTATATATTTGGTTTGAGATGTTTATTAACTTATAAGTGCAGGTGTTTTTTCTTAAAATCTGTTTTCTTGGGAGAGGTCTTAGCCAGAGATTAACATTTGTGAATCATCATTATAGGTGATATTAAAGACATCAGAGTGAAGAGGTTTATGGACTAACCCAGCAATACCAATACAGTCCTGGATCATCAACAATGAATCACATATACAATGGTGATCTGGTAGCAGAGCTGAAAAATTCCTATTGTCTAACAACGTTGTAGTTGTCACAACATTCAAGCACAAGACATTACCTTTTCTATGTTTACATACACAAATACTTAGCATTGTGTTACAATTGCCTACAGTATTCAGTACAGTAACATGCTATGCAGGTTGGTAGCCTAGAAGCAACAAATGCATTTTCATCATTATGCAAACACCATTTAGTGTACTTACACAAACCTAGATGTATAGCCTACTATAGCTTAGGTGTACAGTCTACTATACAATTGTAGCCTAGGTGTATAGTAGCCCATACATCTACGTTTGTGTAAGTACACTAGAAGATATTTGCAAAATGCTGAAATTGGCTAACAAGGTATTTCTCAGAAGGTATCACCATCGATGCATGACTGTATTTAGTTATGGTAGTGAGGAACAGATACCAGCAAAGGATCTGGGAAAGGTGAAACCATGAACCAAGACAAGAACTAGGAAGAGTGGTTTCTCAGAACCCAAATAAAGCTTTTCAAAGATCGAGAAGCGATAAACCCGACCGACACTGCTTCATTCAAAAAGAATGAAACTGTGGATCAGCCATTGTATTTGGTTGCATGGCTATTGCTGGCTTTCATAGAAGCTGTTTTGATGGAGTGGTAGGATGGACAAAAGCGTGAGTACCATATTCAAGAGAGAATGCAAGGTTCTCTCCCAAGAACTCTCAACAAGTTCCGCTGAAGAAAGATTAGCTGAGGTGGAGGAGATTGGAGAGGGGAAGAGAAAACAAATTACTTAGGGAATTTTGGGGGAACTTAGTGGGCAGCATTACGGGCAGCGCTAAGGAACCATTTAAAGTAAGACAAGTCCACACAGCTGTGTGCTTTTCTACAGTCTTGTTCAACTGCTGCATAACAACAGAATGTTGGAAGCAGGAATTAGTTTTAAAGTAAGATGGTATTGACGAGACGACAATAAAATACCTCTACTACAGAGCACAGCAATGTTCGGCCTGGTGGCTCACAGAAGCTGAGGCTCTTGAACGTCTGGGCACAGCATGAAAGCATCAAGCTTGAGAGACTGCAGGCCTTAACAAACTAGAAGTGCTAGAACGATGGTTCTAAACCAGGTCTTTTCTCACACAGCAAGCACAGCAATAGAGATTTATTTTATCTTATTTTTTAGACAGAGTCTCGCTCTGTTGCTCAGGCTCGAGTGCAACGGCACGATCTCGGCTTACTGCAACCTCCGCCTTCCGGGTTCAAGGGATTCTCCTGCCTCAGCCTCCCAAGTAGCTGGGATTACAGGCATGTGCCACCACGTCCGGCTAACTTTTTGTATTTTTAGTACAGACGGGGTTTCACCATGTTGGCCAGCCTGGACGCTAACTTCTGACCTCAGGTGATCCACCCCACTCGGCCTCCCAAAGTGCCGGGATTACAGGTGTGAGCCACCGCGCCCAGCCCAGTAGAGATTCTTTTAAAGACTGCGGTAGGTCGATAAAGGAGACATTGTGGCCTAGGAGCTTCAAGGTCTACAGACTGAACCCAGTTAGGGTAGGGCCCCTTTCCAAATCCAGAAATGGTATCTATTAATAGAAGGGCTCCCTCCGGGTCCCAGGGGGATGGACTACGGTTTTTAGCGCCGGAACTTACAACCCGAAGTTCTGCTGCTTGTGACTGCCTGCCGGAGAGACTGGCATGGTGGCGACCAGCTGGGGAGTGGTGCACCACCCCTTTTTTTGGCCGCCTCTGAAGTCCCTGTACCCCCAAGCTCCTCCGTTAGCGGCTCGGGCCGAGGCTCCGGAATGTTTGCCGGGCGTCATGGCGACGGTGGAGCCCTGGCTCAACAAGCGGCCGCGCGGTTGGCTGGCGGCACGAGGCCGAGGAGGAGGGCGGAGGCGGAGGGGAGGGCAGAGGGTTGGTGGAGCTGGAGGAAGCTCCGGACGACGACTGGAAGAAGGAGGCGGGCGGCCCGGGCCTCAGGCCCCTCCCAGGCTCTGAGTCTCCCGGCTGCAGGCGGATGGATGGGGCTTCTTCAGGCGGTGGCGGCAGCAGCGAAGGTGGCGGCGGCAGCAGCGGCAGCGGCTGTAAGTGCAGCCTCCACAAGCCATCTCTCCCCTTCTATTCCAGTTTGGGATGAGGGGCTCCTGAGGTGTCCTCAGTCCCCTTTCTCTCCTTCCCCTCCCCCACGGCAGTGTACCGCCCGGAAGACCCTTAACTTCCGGGGAGGGGCTGCCGCAGAACGCGCCTGGCTTGCTCTCCGCCGGCTGCCAAAGGCGCATGCGCAGCTTCCTCCCTCTGGCCATCGACTGCCTCCCAGCGCCGCCTTTTTGCCTTCGCGGTGGTGGCGCCGCGCTGGGAATCCGCTGCGGAGTGAGTTCGCCTCGCCCCGTTCGCTTCGGTCCCTGATCCCAGTCGGGGTGGGGCTAAGCTGACCACCCTGCTGTGGCTCCGCCTCTTTCTCCTGTATTTCCCTCACTTGTGTCCCATCCCCGGGAGGCTCTCGCTTGCACTGCAGCCTTTATGGTGAGCAGCGCCCTGGGCCAACTTGCCCTTTTCGGATGGAGTCAGGGAGGGAGGAGAGACTCGAATAGGGTATTACTGTAAGGAAACGAGGTCCTCCTAGCGCGTGGGAGGATCCCTTGGGACAGATGCCCGCCGCTCTTTACTCTTGTTCTTTCAGCTTGTAGTGGCTAGGTCCCTGGCCTGGAGCCTATCTGTGGTCCCTGCATGCTGTGTAACCTTGAGCGAGTCACTATCCCTCTCTGGGCTTCAGTTTTCCCTATTTAAAGCTTCCTCCAACGCTAGAATTCTGCATTTCTGCAGAAGAACTTATGTAATTACAAGATTGACTTGGCTATTGAGGCCGCTTCACCAAGATGACCCGGAGTTGACTGAACCTTCTTCACTTATGGGTGGAATGAGGCGACCTATTTATTGGGTCGCTTTTATTCCTTTATCATTAGTTACAAATTGCATGACTTAAGGCTCATTAAATGTTTTTCTAAAATTGTCATGGGATCCTTGTCCTGATTCCCGACCATCTTTTTAAAAATGCGAAACAGGGTGGATGGTGAGCTTGTATCATCGTTTCTGTCTCCTTGCTACTGAGGCTCTCTTTCCTTTGATCCAGATGGTGTGGTCGCTCGATTCTCCCAGTGCCTGGCTGAGTTTCGGACGTGGTTAAGAACCAACTGGTTGAGGTTCAATGCAGACAAGACGGATGTGATGCTGGTAGGCAGGGGTACACTTGGAGATTAAGGGAGGGAAAATCCAAACTCCCTCAAGTAATATAAGATTATATTACTCTTCTTATATGTTCCAGTGTTTGAGAACTGATGGGCCAAAAATTTCCAGAATTTGGGTGAGATAAAAATAACATGTCATCAATGTAAAAACCATAATCATAGTTTGTAATATTCTGATAAAATGGGGCCACTGGATAAAACTGTAAAAATTATGAAAAGAAAATCCAAAACTGTTATTTGAAGAACCAAAAGCCTATATAAGTGTTTTAGAGTGGCATTAATAACAAAAAATGAAACTAACGAAAGATGATGCTGATTGTCACTATAGATGTGGGGCTTCCAAATGTAATAGGCTAAGTTTTTTAGATGTAGGTATTTTCAACCAAATTAGTAATTATCCATAAAATTTTACCACCACATCATAAAGACATGGTGTAGGCTGTTGCTTTTAAATAAAAATTTCAGGAAATAGTTTATAAACTAATCTCAAAAGAGACTCATGGACGCTGAAAATTGTTAGATATAGAATTTTTTAGTTTTGGATGTGTTGTATTAATCTATTTCAGTCAGCTAACCCCAGAGTCTAAATTGTTATAAGTACAGTATTTTCTTGGTGCATTTTGAGAGGTACCTTTTTGGATTGCATAACAGATAGGTTTATATAGTATATATATATATGTTACTTGTATTTGAATCAGGTGTTGGTACTGAATAAAAGGTTATATTTCTTAGGTATATGTAAATTGCCAAAGAAGTTTGTTCATTGGTTCGTTTAAGGTACTGGTTGAAGTAAGATTGTGCTCCTAAATGCTTTTGTTAAAAGCATAATAATAACTGAGGGGTTTGTGTGTGCGTGCGCCTTATAGCCTCTATAGAATTGTTCAATAACTTTTGAATGGAAGATTCAGTAAATTGCTTACAAATGATTTATCAATATAATAGCAGTTTTGAGTAGCTTAATGTCATAAAAATTAATGTTACTTTGCCTGAAAATAAGGAGGCTTTTAGGTGGGGAATAGGAGCTGAAGAGGCATTTATTCAGGCTTTGTATAGTGGTTTTTTGTTTTGGGACATTAATCACAAACCTCACATAAAATTGGAATTCAGCACACTTTTTTAGTTTAAAAATTTTATACACAATTCCAACAGAACTACTGTTTTGGATATCACATTAATAAATAACAAAGTGTAATAATTTTAAGCAGACACAATTAATGGTGCATTTTCTTATGCCTTTAGCTCTCTCATGTCCTATTTTCAACTCTTCTAGTATGAATAGGCTTTAAAAATAAATTTTTTTTTGTTAACCCAAGTATAAATATTAACTGTTTGCATTTGGATACAAAGAAGATATCTGTTGAATTAATCCAAAGTGCTGAAGAACTAAGGGTAATGGATGGAAACAACAAGGAGGTAGATTCTGGCATAATAAAAGAAAGAATGTTTTAAACATTTGAACTTTTTTTGAAAAGAGCAGCCTTTTTATGAGATATAGTGAGTCACTGGAGGGGTTTAAACATAGGCAGAAAGCCTGGTAGTAGAAGCATGATGAGAGATTACTATCTTGACAGGGTAGAGAATTGACTAAAAGATCTCTAAGGTCCCATCCAACACTAAAATTCTATAACTAGTGAATAGTTAATTTTTATATATTTAATACTGAAGAGGGTAAGTAAGCGTTTTGAGAAAGACTTTTCATTCCGTAAGGTGGCTCCTGAAAATTTTACAGTTAGGTGTATCACTAAAATAAAATAATAGTGGAAGGATACTGAATTCAGTGGTAATGTGTTACCTATGAATTGCAGTATTAGAGCTGTTTCTTTTTTATAATATCTGAACCTAAAAAACCCACTGAATCCACATTTATAAAAAGGGGAAGGGGAAAAATGTAGAGAGTTTTTTTCCCTCAATAATAATAATACCATTTAAAACTAGTAATATTGATACACAATATTAATAAACTTAAAGAGTTATTTAACAGTAAGATAGATACCCATTCAGAAATGTTTCAGACTTCCATTTTCCTGACAAGTTTAGGATTCATTCAGTAGGTTAATAGACTATGATCCCCTGCTCTTTATCATAGTTGGGATTTCTGTTGGTAGTTTAACTGAAGAATCAAAGATTCAGTGTACTTAAGCAAGTTATTTCTGTACCTTGTATTGTAACACTTTTAATTTTCCTTTGGTAGCCAAATTTCATAAATTAGCTTTCATATGTTAATGGAAAACCCTCCTTCATCTCCATGGTATAAAGCCTGAGTTTGTACCTCTAGGCCCCTAATTGTGTCTGTACCCACCTCAGGTCCATGTATATCCATTGTTCTTTGCCTTCAGCTCTTTTCATTAAGTGTATTGATTGAAAACTATTTGGATATGAACTGACACTTTTAAAAAGTCATTTTTATTTCAAGTCCAGAGGATTGACATAATTCAACAGGGTAACTATTAGAAACTATATACCTCTGCTAAAATATTTATTCCCCCAAGGAATCCTGAAAAACACTTTTATATAAGTTTTCTAAAAAATAAAATGAAAATACTGTACAGTACAGTTAATGGTAAAAATTGTTTGTAGATTTGGGAACCTTAAAGTTTTCCTTTCTCTTCTTTCCCTTGCTTTTCTTTCAGTAGAAAATGTGCATCAGATGTTTATGTTTAATTGGTTTACAGACTGTCTGTGGACTCTTTTCCTGTCAAATTACCAGGTAATGTCCTTTCACTTAGCAGCTACTTCATATATCTGTAAATGCAGTTTATTCATGCACAGATTATTATTGGACATAACAGTTTCAAATTAACATTGAATCTTTGGAAATAGGAAAATGCTTGATAGAGTCTAGAATTTTAAGGGAATATAAATAATTTAATAGCCTCCCCTATATTGCATTATAAGTTAAGTATTAACTTTAAGAAAAATTGTATATGTACACATTTATGCAATGTAGTATTGGTTCACATTATTTGGAAGGAATGAATAATTCTCGTATTTAAATGGTTGATTTTGGTAGCCACTTTTGAAACTGCATTAAGAGGAACCCTTGAAGATTAGGAAAAAAATCCCAGTCTTTTGAAATAAAGACTTTCAAACTGGTTTAGTAAAATATGTTAGTGACTGTTTTAATGTCACCTTTGTGTTATTCAGTATGTGCCTTAGTATAATGGAAGTGAAACATGTTAGTTACTTTGAAATCATTGGTTCTGGCCATCATCAGCATTGGCATCACGGCCAATTGGCAGCTGTAGGCCAATACATTAAAATAAACTTTCAAGTTACAGGCATTTCAGGCATTGCAAATAAGTAGGTTCTCCCTCCATGCTACTAAATAGATGATATCCATAAAACAGTCAATTTTCAGTATTTTAAATTTTGTCTAGTTGTGCAAAATTCAGTACATAACTGTGTTGCTACCGGCATGACAGAAGTGTGTGAGAAAACGCAAATGACATGAGGATGGCGGACTGCCTATCATAACCCCTTCCATTAATTTTTGCTCTGACCTCTCTAGAGATTTGGGGATATAGAATTTTACATTTCCTGTCGGGAATCTACTGATGGAGAAATATTTGTCAAGGCATAACCGCTTTCAAAGCACAGTTCTTGCCGCCGTTGCATCACAGCAACATCCGTTTTTCAGCAAATGCATTTCAAAAACGACCTACATGTAAAATATTACGTATTTTTCCTCTGCTGTGTCAATGCTGGATGTGACTCCTTTGGCACTGTTCCTTGACCTCTCTGATCCGTAGACAACCCCCTCCGCCTGGAGTGGCGGATCAGCTGGAGCCAGCGAAGCGCCCCGCGCGGTTGCCCACCTCCTCCCACACCCACCTTGACTCCGCCCCCTCCGCTCTTCCCGGGGAGGGCTGGCCGCGGGGCCGCGCGCGCGCCCCTGCTCCGGCGCGTGCTCGCTGGTCTTTTCCCTCCAGTCCAGCCCAGCCGGGGCGCCGCGAGGGGGCGGAGTGGGGTGTGGTGGGCGCGCTCGGGCGGCTCCTGCGCGTTCCCGCCGAGGCAGTGGCGGCGGGAGCGGCAGAGACGGCAGCGGCCGGAGTCCCGTTGCTGAGTCTCACATCCGGGTTCTGGCCGTGACCCAGCTGCGGCCGCCGCGGAGATGTGACCCGGCAGTACGGCAAATATGGCGGAGGTAAGGGAGCGAGCTCCCCCTCCCTGTCCCGGAGCCGGGCGCCCCCGGCCCTGGGCCGGGGAGGAGTGGAGTGGGCCTGGCCAGGAGAGGCCCGGCCCTGCTGGCGCCGCTGCCCACCTGTTGTCCGGAACAGGCCATTCTCTGGGCGGGAGCTTCGCCTGGAACTTAGTTGGGATGGGTCCGGGGGTAGGAGGAAGCGGAGGCGTACTTGGACTTCGGGGGCAGTTTGAAGGGTAGTGCAGCGTAGTAGTGCGGTGCGAGGGGGAGGGGGCGCCCGCCGGGGAAGGGGTGCCTGTGGCGCAACTTCGCCGGCCGGTGCTAGGGGCCAGGAGAGAAGCTGCTGCTTCCTCTTGCGAAGTTTTTTCCCTTCCTAACCGAGATGCTGTTGCGCCCTTCCGCGTCACCCCCATCCATTTGCGACTGACATCCAGTCTGTGTTAGTGGGGAAAACGTAAGGCTGACGGCCTTTGATTAACTCTGTAATTTTCATGATCGTGGTAAAATGAGAGTGGATAAATTAATCTGGCCAGCCGCAATCCAGCCCTCCAGGTTGGGGGGAGTCTGCCCATTTATCCAGACAGTTCCATCTCCCGCTCCCCAAGGTACAACCTCTGAGCTGCTTTTCCACCTCCCCCCACCACCTTCACTTTCCAGGCTTCCCCCCACCCCCTTTCCAAATCAAGGCTACCTATTCTTGTCTTCTTTCTCTTCTAATTTTTCTTTCATTGGAGAAGCTTTTTCTTGTTTCTTTTTGCTCGTTTTATAGTAAACAAGTTCCTAAAGCCCCTTTTTTTGATTTTACATATTTGGGCCGCAGTTGGCGGGCATACAACTGCTGTTGATTTATTAATCGGAACTAAGTATACGCTACTGGAACTTTAAATAACTGGAAGTTTAAAAAATGTTTAAAATATCTGAAGTTTTGTGGGATTTGTTTTGTTTCCGTTTTTCCTTACCCGTGGAAGAATTTCAGTATTCTTTATTCCTGAGAGTTCGAGATGATGTATTTGGATTTTTTTTATGACTCCTTTGAAATAAGCCACTGTAAATTTTGATTGATAAGGCATTTCTCTTGTTTGAATTGCCATTTTCATGGTTTCACAGGCACCCCAAAACAGATTTAGGAAGGAGGGTGAGATTTTGCTGTAGCAGACAGGACTGTTTGCTGCGAGTATTCTTTTTAAAACATTCAATATCTCTAATTTACAACTAAATTTAGATCTTAGATTTATTTTCATTTCTTTTGCTCTTGGTGGTTAAAGAATTGTATTTCCAGGCACATGAATTGGAGAACGTAGTACTTTCTGTTTCCCCAAAATGTGACTGCGTTTGTTCCAGTAGACTGAGAATCGGTACCTGGATTTTAGTCCTGGTGAGGTTCTTATTCTTAAGTGTTTGTTTCCTTCATGTTTAAGGAGTTGTGTGTAGCTGGATTTATACATTTTGTCAGTTAGTGTCTTCAGTGGACCCCTTTCAGTGAATATCGGGTAAGCAGCAATGTGCTACATAGGTAATGTGGTTTCTTCTTTCATGGTGTTGCTCAGGATGGTTTGAGCTTTGAGGTGTGTAGTCATATACTAAGGCAAGATATTACTGAAGGAAAATAGCTTATACAGAGAAATTTAAGTTAAAAAACTTAAATTTAAAATTTCTGTGTTTTTAAAAAATAAATTTTATTGCCGAGGGAACTAAAAAATCTAATATGTAAAAGAAATTATGTTAACTTTTTTGTTTTAAAAATTAAAGATGGTTGCGTTATTGTAAGATAAAGGAAAAAAATATTTTGATTCACTAATCATTTCCTAATATTTTCTAATGTATGTTTTAGTTTTCTTAAATATTTTATCAGTTGGAGAATGGAATGTTTTGTGGGAACGCATGGATTGTTCAACTGCAAGAAGGAAAGAACTGGAATTTTGTTTTTATTTGGTTTTTAGTGTTTATTTAATGACCTGGTATCTTTAAACAATTTATCTTCTATATTCTTCAGTTACTTGTAGATAGTTTCATGTATAGTGAATTGGGGAAGAGTTAGAGGAACTTTCGTGATCTGTGTCCTACAAAAAAATCTAAGACAGGTGAAGAAGTGAAAAGTACAATTGATTTATAGTTTTCCTGGCCTCAATACTTGAATAATTATGACGATTTTTGAGACCAGTGGTTTTAAACAATTAGACAAAGGAGAAATGCTTGGTTGGCTTTTACTTTGAGCTCTCAGTAGATTCATTCTTTATGAAGCCAATATAAAAGCATGTGATTAAATAATCCAGATGCTGAATTATTGTGCTTTTGATCAAATAAATCTGAGGATTTAAGGATAGCTTGTGAAGTAACAGTAAGTGCAAAGCAACAGTATATATCTATTTGTTAAATCTGAGGGGGAAAACAGGTTATTGAAGAAGTATGTCTCCAGAGAAAAATGTAGGTATTATGCTTCTGGGCTTTTAAAAAAAAAAATTGATGCTTCCTACAAGAGCATGACCCTGACCATGTTTTTCCAGAAAAATATTTAATTCTTGAATAGAAAGTGCTTTAGATGAGAATAGGATATACTAATTTTTTATATTTGATCTGATTATCTTAGTCCATAATAGGAAGTATATATTGGTTCTTCAGTTGTGATAACATTAAAGCCGTATTTAATGTACTTAGAATAAATAGCATATGCTCCCTTGCTTAATACTTTTTGGCAATATTTCTCATTGCTTATTATCCCTTAAAATTATTTACCAACCTTCTAAAAGGACGCTCTCCTAGTCACACTTGAAGGAAATTACAGGATAGTTGCAGTTTTACTAACTGCAAAAATAAGAGGAAAATGAGAGAAAAAATGAGAGGAAGAAATAGTTAATCCTTTGGGTTTTATAAGGAATGTACTAGGGACCTTTGGGAACGAACAATTTGTCTTGTATTTTAGCGTTTGTAAACACGTAAGGGACTTTCTTCTCAAGGAAAAAAATCCATGGACAATTCAAGACCTGTCTTTTCACCTAGGCCACATTTCTGTGATATAAAGAGAAAATTAATGGATTTGCTTCTTTCTATTTAAGTATTTTAGTACTTTCAAAGAGGGTATATAATCTGTTTATTCACTTTCACACCTATCCATTTCTCTTTAAAATGGACTCCTTGCTTAGTATTTTTTGAGTGTATTTGGATTTTTTTAACGAAGGATTATGTTAAATGTTACTTATGAAAACATTAATTTCTACTCTAAGCAAAATGTGTTTCACTGCAGTGAATTTAAGCTTCAAATAATTCTCGACACTAATAATGAATTTTTTTTCATGTTTATACTTCAGAGCTATTAAGATTTTAAAAGTAGTCAAGATCACCAGTGCGTGAGAGTCCTAAAAATCTTAATTCATTGGCAGTTAAGAGTTAGGGTACTTTAATAGGTGGGAAAGGTTTGGTGGGAGAAACAAGTGAATTACTTTAAGATAATTCTGGTAAGTGAGACTAACCAGTTTTCTAAATAATTCAGAAATAAAACACTGCCATTGAAGCTTAAGCATGTCTTTATGAAAAGTAATCAGCTATCTAGAAATGCCTGCCTGGCTTGATGTTCATTCAAAATTCATTGCAGTGATTAAATTGTTCAAGTACCAGTCATTGCTTGGGGCTTGTTCTGTTTGTCTTATTCTGTGGCTTAGAACAATAACTTATTATGTAGGTATGAAATTCATGAAGTAGCACCCCAAAAAATTGTTTTTGCAAATTGAGATTTTTTTAACAGTCCTAGATTTAAAAAAATAAATTTAAACATATCCCATGCATTTAGCTGCATACTCCTTAGTAGTGTTAGGTTTCTAGAGCAATTTATAATAAAAGTAAAGTTAGGTCTTGAAGAAATCTAAATCTTTTGATCATAGAGAAAATGAAAGTGAGCAGAGAGTTTACGTAGTTTGTCCTAGGTCGTGCAATTCATCTATGGCACAGTTTAGACTGGAACCCAGCCTTCTGTATTCCTAGATTCCTAGTGCTTATTTTCTTTTTCTTTCTTTCTTTTTTTTTTTTTTTTGAGACAGGGTCTCTCTCTGTTGCCCAGGCTGGAGTGCAGTGGCGCAAATCATAGCTCACTACAACCTCAAACTCCTGGGCTCAGGTGATCAATCCTTCCCTCAGAGCCTCTCAAGTAGCTGGGACTATAGGCATGTGCCATCATGCCCGGCTTTTTTTTTTTTTTGTGGAGACAGGGTCTCGATATGTTGATCAGACTGGTCTCGAGCTTCTGGCCTTAAGTGATCCTCCTGTCTTGTGCTGGGATTATAGGCGTGTGCCACTGTTCCCAGTCCTTATTTTCTATGATATCATTTTACTTCTGAATTATTAATACTGTAGTAAATTGCTAATTTTAATTTCAGTACATTCTTAACCTTTTTATACCCCAGAATTCCTGAGAGTAATAACAAAGTTAAGTAACTTAATTTTATTGGAGGAGAGGGATGGTGAGCCAGCCCTTGGCACGGTAACCATCTTTCACCCTAAAGTAGGACCCCTCTTTCCAGGCTTCTATCCCCATCTCCATTGCTGTGAGAATCTCTGACTTAGAGTCTACATAACTAAGTAGATGACGGCAATACTTAAAAGAAATGGTGGTAGAATTGTTTTGAGGGGAAAAATTTGTTCAGACGGTAATACTCATTGCAAATAAGCTTTTGATTGCCTGGAATAAAAAAATCTAGTAATTACTTCATGTTTTTACTATGTTGTTGTTAGGGTTTTTTTGGTGAAAATAATGGTAATGTTGTAGTTAGTTATTTCTTTACTCTCTCTCAAATTATAGTCTTCTGTTGTATGGGACATTTCCCACCATGTTCTAGAAAAATATAAAAGAGAATTATTTCAGCAAATCTGAGGCATTGAATATTCGTTACAACTATTAGCAATTTTATCAACTAAATCATACAAATATGTGGGTGAGGGTCAACTTGCTATAAAAGTTGCTAGAGTTTGTTTTTAATTTGTTTTAGCCCATTCATACTCTGTGTACAGTCTTTCTGTCTCTCTAGTGTTGTTTTCCATCTCAGATAAGATAAATATGTACCCCCTAAAACACTGAATTTTTCAAAATTACAGCTTAAAAAATAGTAACAAGTACTAGGTTTTCTTAAAAATCAAAATTTAGAGGAAGAAAATGAAAATGTCTCATAATTCCACAAGATAATCAGTTCCCAGTGACTTTCATTTTAAGAAAGAATGCATAGTACATGAAAGTGGTTAGAAAATTTCAACAGTACAGAAAGGTATTAAATGAAAAAAGCCTCTTCTCCCTGACCCCATTCCCTAGAGGTAACTATTGTTAACAGGTTCTTGTATGTCCTTTTGAGGAAAAAAAATTTATTCCATATTATTTCATATTCCAGCCCAGTTTACGCCCTGTTCTACAGTTTTCTTTATACTCCTAATTTTTTTTGGCATTTATTTCTCTATCAACACAAACAGATATCTCTATTTTTAATGGAGTCATAGTGTTCTATTGTTTGGAAGAACTATGTATGGAAGAACTATGTATCATTTCTAATCAGCTAATGCATGGACTTTAAATGTTTTTCTACCTTTTTGTTATGAACAACTTTGTGGTAGTGAATGTTTTATATATATATGTCTTGGTGTCTTTTTTAAAATATATCAGTAGGATAAGTTCAGGTTAGCAAAATGATCTCCAGTGTGGTTGACATAACTTTTTTCTACTGATAAGGTTATGAGTACATGTTAAATATATTTTAATGCCCAATTTTAAATCATCTTTCCTAAAAAAGGTATTTTTTCTAAAAATAGGTATTGTTATAAATAAGCACTTACTTAGCTTTAGTTTAGTTTTGTTTTGTTTTTGTTTTTTTTGAGACGGAGTCTCTGTTGCCCAGGCTGGAGTGCGGTGGCGCTTTCTGGGCTCACTGCAACCTCCGCCTCCTGGGTTCAAGCATTTCTGCTTCAGCCTCCCAAGTAGCTGGGATTACAGGCGCCCGCCACCAAATTTTTTATTAAAAAAAAAAAAAGTTTTTGTATTTTAGTAGAGACAGCGTTTTGCCATGTTGGCCAGGCTGGTCTCGAACCCCTGACCTAGGGTGATCTGCCTGCCTCGGCCTCCCAAAGTGCTAGGATTACAGGCGTGAGCCACCGTGCCCACCTTAGTTTTGTTTTTCTCTCTCCTTTCTAGTTTATGGTAGTAATTAATGGTAGATGTTGTGGGTTCTCCAGGAAGGTATTGTTAAGATAACAGTTTCTGAAGACTGATAAGTCTGACATGACAGATGACTACTTGCAGTCACATTTTAAACATACTTTGAACTGATGAAAATCATTTCAAAAAAGAGAGGCCGGGTGCGGTGGCTCACATCTGTAATCCCAGCACTTTGGGAGGCTGAGGCGGACGGATCACGAGGTCAGGAGATCGAGACCATCCTGGCCAACATGTGTGAAACCCATCTCTACTAAAATACAAAAAATTAGCCAGACGTGGTGGTGTGCACCTGTAGTCCCAGCTACTCGGGAGGCTGAGGCAGGGGAATTGCTTGAACCCAGAAGGCCGAGATTGCAGTGAGCTGAGATTGTGCCACTACACTCCAGCCTGGGTGACAGAGCGAGACTCCATCTCAAAAAAAAAAAAAAAAAAAAAAGAGAAAAAGAAAAAAGTGAGGGTGAAGGAGGAGAGAAGTGAAGAGTGGAAAATTTTAGCAGTTATTTCTCTAGAAGGTACAAAAGGACACTATAAAAGGTATAGAAGGAAGAGTCAGGGTCTAGACTTCAGGCCTGCCTTCACCACCTACCATGGAACCTTGATCTAGTCAGTGTGTCTCCTTGGGTTTACTAATTTATAAAAGAGGTGGGCAGGGCAGGTATTATTCCTATATTTATGATTATGATCAGCTAACTAGATGCTTTTGAAAATGTGTAGCACTGGGTTGGGCATGGTGGCTCATGCCTGTAATCCCGGCACTTTTGGGAGGCCAAAGCAGGGAGATCACTTGAGGTCAGGAGTTCGAGACCAGCCTGGCCAGCATGGTGAAACCGTCTCTATTAAAAACACAAAAGTTAGCGAGCCATGGTGGCGCACGCTTGTAATCCCAGCTACTTGGTAGGCTGAGGCAGGAGAATCGATTGAATCTGAGAGATGGAGGCTGCAGTGAGCCAAGATCATGCCACTGCACTTCTGCCTGGGTGACACAGCAAGACTCCATCTCAAAAAAAAGAAAAGAAAAGAAAATGTGTAGCACTATATGAATGTAAGCTGGATGTACTATTTTATTTCATATCTAAATAAAAATTACCCTTATTCCACACCCAAACTTCCTATATTAAGATGCTAAACTCACTTGTTATTTTGAAAGATCATCATTTTTGATAATTAGCTATACAAAGTAATGTTTTACAGTATGAAATGTTTTCAAATACCAATTTTTTAGAAACTCATCTTTGATTTAATGGGATGTATTTAACTTTAAAGAATCTAATCTCAATCCTACCCCCAAACATATAGAACAGAATTTTATTTTGGAAGTAAAATACTAAAATATGTATGGATACTAAATGTATCTGTAGGCAGACCACTCCTAGTTCTCCACTTGTGCTAATCTAGATATGCCTTTAAATCAGTCATTGAAACATTCTAGTATGTCTGACATAATCACTAATGTTACCTTTGAACACTGGGTGTTCTACTCTGTATCAGCTATGCTTACAAATGCTACTAGTCCTCAAGCGTTTGGTATCTTAATCATTGGGAAGTGTTTGCAGCCTTTTTCAGAACTTTAACTATTTACCAATGAAGCAACAATCAGTAAGATATTTATTGGCATTCAGTGCTCCTGAGGCCTTTTACAAACTGAAATATATGGACACCATTTACAATTCAAAATCTCTATTGTTAATATCTAACATCAATAAAAATGTAACTTTTATTCTTCAGTAACTTGTAATTAGAAAGCCTTTTTTTAAATCAGAGAACTGTTAAATGGAATAATTATTCCAGTGTTCATAAGTCTTATTTTGTGTGGATAGTGAGCTAGGATTAGATGAAGATGATCATTAACATTGCTTGTAGCCTTACAGAGAAGATTGTGCCTACAGTTGGGAAGTATAACTGCGTGAAACACAAGTGGATTAATATTTTAAAATATTGATTTACTATGTAATAATTTGTGTGGTGGTTAACTCCATTTTGAACCAGAAATGTGTAGCTCTGCCCAAAAGATGTTAAGCAAGCTAGAAACCCTTTTTGTGGTTGCATTACTCTTGTCATGTCACCCTACTCTCCAAGCTTCCCATTAGAGGAATGAGATTTAAAAGTAGCACTGTATTGACTGTGTTCTGGCAGAGTAACTTTAAAATAATGGTAGTGGTGTACCATTGGAAATATGCAATACTGGTTATTGTCAGATTTTTGCTAGACAATGCTATAGGAAGGAATTATTCTAAGAATTTAACAGAAAAAGTAGGACCTTTGAAAAAGTGTGCCACAAAAGAATGAGTCACCATATGGAATCTAGAATCCCATACTTACTACAATTACATAATATGTACAGTTTTAAAAACAAATTTTAATACTTTATAGGAATTTGTCTTAGACACATTGTTTTTGAAAAATAGAGAATTTCCCTCTTTTCTGTTTTCTTCTTGCCTCTCTTCCCCATTACTTAGCAGAAAGAAAATACTGCAAGATCCCTATCTTTCCTTTGCTAGTGCTTTTGGCCTCCCACCATCTGTATTTTCTAATGGGCATGAAATAGATACTTCTGAATGAATTGGTGAAGTTTTAGTTCATGTTATTTGAAGCATCTTTTGAGTTTTTAATATTTGTTTTGTGGGAGTCTTATGTTTGTAGATTATTTGTTTATAATTGTGAATTAACTGAACTAAGATAAAACACAACTGCGCATTGTCAAGCAGTAACATTACTAAAATAAATTGCTACCAATTTTATCTTTAAATTTTCAAGTTGTTTGTGGTTAAATTTATGACAGGTAGAATGGTGGAGTGGAAGGAGCATTATAATTGGAAATCTGTGCAGTCTTGCATCAGATAACCTAAACTTTCTAGGCATTAGCTTGAATGCTTGCTAATTCTGTTATAACTTAAAAATATATTGTTTATCTGTAAAGTTAACCTAATATAGTATTTGGTGCTTAAACAGAATTTTAATTTTTCCTTTTGCTTTGTTACAACTTAATTTTTATTTGAGATAGTGTCCTAAATTGTTTCTGTCTCCCATCTTACACTCACTTTTTTTAAGTCGGAGACCAGCTTGATAGCAAACTTTGTTCATAGTTCTGTGTTGATAGGAGAAAATCTATTTCAGAAAATTCCAAGATCTAAAATCATACTACTTAAACCACATATGTTATGAAGCCCACATGTACCTTTAAAATCTGAATTCTATACTATTGTCTTTATTTCTGGATTCAGGAGTGTTTGGAATTTTTCTTTATGCTTAAATATAATGAAAGGGAAGGGATTATATGGGAAGTTTTAGTTTGTCTTGGAAAATGCAGACATTAAAACTAAAATGCAGACATTAAAACTTACTGTAGTTTTTGGCATCATAGTAGTCATTGAATAATTTCGGTAATGTTTGTGAAGATACATTATACAGAAATACTAATTTTTCCTCTTTTCTCCCCTTCTCAGCCATCTGTTGAATCTTCAAGTCCAGGTAAGTATTTTCCATATTTTTTATAATCTCGATTTGAGTAACATTTGTCCTACTAGTTGCATAAAGACTAGAGGAGTTAGACTATTATCTGACTTGCTTTTCTTCTGAATGCTTCTTTTCTCTGGGGAAAAAGAAATGGATGAAAGGTTTGACTGCCCATGAAAGTACAGGTGAGGCTACTGTGATTTCATCCTAAAAATGACTATTTTTGGGTTTTCTTTTTTTTTTTTTTTTTTTTTGGTGAGTTGCCATATGTATTTCTCACAGTTTTGTATTATTGTTTGACTTGTAGTATATATATAAATTGTGCTTTTTAAAAAGGAATCATTAGCTTAGAAATATTTGCTTGTGTAGGGATTTCAAAGTATTTTTATTTGAGAAAAAATTGTTAGTGCATTACAGAGGGAGGGGAAAAATAAAGTAAGCAAACGATTCAACAAGTGAATATTTAATGTAAATAAGGAATATTCTAAATAAGGAAATCATTCTTAGATTTGAATAGGATCAAGTTTTAGGTTCTGAGCACACATCTAGGATTTTTGTATTCTTTCTCAAATACAGTACATATTCATTTTTTCCTAACTTAGAGATTGCAAACCTGTGATCTTTGAATCAGATCTGTGCCACAAATTTTTGTTTGGCCACTGTAGTGATCTTTAAGAATATTTTATATATGAAATCTGGATTTAGGGTTCCCATGGTCTGGCACCACTGGGTACAGTAGTTCTACATGGCAGTAATTCATTGGAGTTGAAGCAGTGAGGAAAGAGTCAAGTACTAGTCTTTTATCCTCAGTGTCCAGTGACTGTCAAGAGAAATGGGACTGCCTTCTGCATGGGATATGTGGGTTAAAGAGTAGTCCAATATAGAAGAGTGAGAAAGTGAACCCTCTGAGGCATAGTAATGTTTTATTTGAAAACATCTCACATGTATTGAATACTTAGATAGGATGTATTCTGTATTACTGAATTTTCCAGATTATTGAAGCAATCACCTTTCTGTGTTTAAAGTTTTAGAAAGAAAGCTTTTAAAAATGCTTAACATAAGATAAGCCTGTTTTCATGGTGCAAGGTCCTTTCTATGAACATGAATCACTGGACTCTGAGGGTTGGACTAGATCACATCTACATCCCTTTTAAATGACTAGTGTGCTCAGCTGACGTTGATTTTGTCCTTTTGATTTCAGCTGAAAGCATCTTACTCTTTTTAATATGCTTGAGAGTAAAGTACATTAGGCTTTGTGCATTTCTGAAACTCAATTTTTTTTGAACTTTGTTTTATAAGTATATCCTGGATGGTTAAGATTGGGAGTAATCTGGTCTTAGATAAGTGTTAGATCACCATATTCATTTTTAGGACATGGAATTATTTCCGATTTTTTTTTTCAAACGCAGAAATTGTTTTCATAGAAAAAATAGATCCTACTTGTTTCTTATAGTATTGTGATATTGCAAATAAAACTGAGGAGATTTAGATATTTCTGATGAATTTTTGAGGCATTCATCTGATAGTACATAGATACATAAAATAATTACTCAGAAAGCGATATTAGTAAGTGGCTTTCTCAGTTTCCATTACATTTGAATCAGCCTAGGCTGAACTGGAAGAATAATGGAGTTTGAAGAATACAAATGTTGGCCAGGTGCAGTGGCTCATGCCTGTAATCCCAACACTTTGGGAGGCCAAGACGGATGGATCACTTGAGGTCAGGAGTTTGAGACTAGCCTGGCCAACATGGTGAAATCTCGTCTCTTCTAAAAATACGAAAATTAGCCAGGATGGTGGCACATGCTTGTAATCCCAGCTACTCGGAAGGCTGAGGTGGGAGAATCCTTTAACCTGGGAGGTGAAGGTTGCAGTGAGCTGAGATCATGCCACTGCACTCCAGCCTGAGCTATAGAGCGAGACTCCTTCTCTCAAAAAAAAAAAAAAAAACAGTCTTTGATAGCTTTGCTACTTGTTGAATACTTAACAGATAGAATGTTTATATTTCTTCAGCTTGTTTTCAGACTGAAATAGATCTTTTGAGTTAGACAGTATTTGTCATTTGAGGCTTCTGCCCAGGGCAGTGTTTATTGTTCTTATAAATAATGTTAATTACAGCCAGTTATAAAAGTTAGTAGAGAAAATTAGAAATACTCATGTAAAAAATTTTTCAGTCCCCTGATGAAAAGGCTATATCCTTTGTAGCATCTGTACTTTGCAATCAATGCTAGTAATAATAGTCACATGACCACATTAATTGCTTTGTCTGTAGTCTCCACCAGTGTAAGACAAAGTAGAGGCACAATGTAAGGCTTTTTACCTGTAAGACTAGTAGCCATTAGAGGTGGGGAATTAATGGAGGTGAAGATAATTTAAAAAGTGATTAAATGAGTAGACATGATACAAACTGAATTTACCTTTGAAAAGATGTAAGGTACCTTTTCTGCAGTAGGATAGGATTTCATGACAAAGCAGTCACATTTGCCTAACTCTGATGCAAAATACTTAATTTATACAAAGCACCAGAGCCATTACCTCTAATGATTTATTATTGGGAATTTTTTTTTTTTCCTAGGAGACAGCCTAATGGTGGGTCTAGCTATTGACAAGAATAAGATGGTTAGTTTGTTCTAAGGAACAAGGCAAAAAGAAGTCAGATAGAACAGGTCAGATTAAGGAAAGAGAAAAACTGAAAATTGAAAGTTTATAGAAAAAAGCGTAGTGTGCATGTAGGGAAAGAAATTGGAGTGAGACAGGAAGTAGTTCACCTACACTTTGTTGTTTGATGTAATAAGGGAGTGAAATGGCAAGTCTTCATATATAATTGGCTTTGCAAATAACAAAAAATGGACTTCAGGTGAGTTACAACACATGCTTTGATGCTATATACCTATGAACTTGAATTTTTTTAAAAGTCAATAGAGTGTAACAAGTATAACAAAGAATTAAGCATAATTATTTTTGATAATACCTGTGTCTAATTACAATTATATTCTGATTGGATAATAGTATACAAAGGGATGGTGTGGGGATTTTTTAGGGTCTTTCTGCCTACAAGGGAGAAAAGTATAGCATTATTTGTAGGGATACATGATTACTGACTGACTACTCAGTATCCCAGAAGATTGCTGGGTGAACTAAAAAGTTTGAGGAGAGTTTTCTCTTGAAAACTCAGAAGAGAAAAGGATTGGGACAGAAAACTACACCTATATTAATGTTTCTCAAATTGTGCTCCTATGGAACCCTTGTGTCCATTGCCTCAAGCAGTACTAAGATGCACTGCTAAAATTGTACTAAGCTTTTCTTAATTTCTGGAAGAAAATTAAGATAATATGCTTTTCTAAATGTTTTTATTTAAATTATTCTAAAACTTTGATAAGTGTTAATAACTCATTTTTACTATAATCTGGTATAAGGTATCTGATTTGGCATGTAATTATGTTTTTAGTTATTTTCTATTTAATATCAGTTCCTTTCCTTTCCTTACTATCTTTTCCTTTCCTTTCGTTTAGTTTTGTTTCCTTTCGTTTCCTTTCCTCCTTTCCTCTTTTCTTCCTTTCTTTTTTGAGATGAGGTCTCACTGTGTTGCCCAGGCTTGTCCTGAACCCCTGAGCTCAAGCAGTCCTCCTGCCTTGGCCTCCTAAAGTGCTGGGATTACAGACATGAGCCACTGCGCCTGGCCTAATACCAATATTTTCTGGTGCTTCTGAAAGGGCACAATGATGTTAAGTGCTTTGCCATGTGACCTGGCTTGCATTCACTCGTCTTAGTACATAGACTCTCCTTAAGTATTCTTTGAGGCAGTATACTAAAATAATTTACAGGAGGCTTGGAGTCCAGTAAAAGCATAGGTGTTAGGATTAGTATACCCAGGATTCAAATTCCGTCTTTGCCATCTACTGGCTTTGTAAGTTTAGACTTGCTACTTGAAATCTCTAAGCCTTGAGTTTTTATTTTTTTTTTTTCCTCTTTAAATGGGATGATAATACCTACTTCGTAGGATTATTTGAAGATTAATTGAGATAATGTATATGACATGCTTGAACATAGTATCTGGCATATGGTAAGCACTCAAAAAAATGATTCTTTTGAAAATTATTGTGAGTAACTGAAGAACCCTAAGCTTTGGGCATTCCCTTATTCATAATAGTCGGATTTTCAAGAAGTCAGCTCTATCTCTTTGCTTTACTTATTGTTTATCTTTCTGGAGTGAAATGAAAGAATAGGTACATCTATTAATGTCTAACCATCAACAGTTAAAACTTTAAAAATTGTTAATTTTTTCAATGTTCAGTAACTCATTTGTTTATCAGTAAACAATGCTTTTGCAAATCTAGGTCCACATTGGCAGTAGTAAAACTTGGGGATATTTTACATAGTCTGTAAAATATCCCCAAGTTTTACTACTGCCAATGTAGTACAATATTTTACAGACAATATTTTACAGACTATGTATGCCCAGCCTTTGCATTCTACTATTACAAAGCTTGACCCTATAGGGTCCAGCAATATTCCCCAACCACATGTCAGTTAGACATGTTTATTAGACTAGATTATTTTTAATGCCTTTGATAGGAGTTCTCTATGCAGTTTTAATAAATTTTGCTCTTCTACTCAGTCTTTGGCGTTATTTCTGATCAAAATCCACTAAGTTAAGGACAGCTACTCAAATATTAGATTTTTTTTTATTTATTTTTTATTTTTTAAAGTCAGGGCCTTGCTCTGTCTCCCAGGCTGGAATGCAGTAGTGTGATCATGACTCACTGTGGCCTTGACCTCCCTGGCTCAGGCACTTCTCCTGCCTTAGCCTCCTGAGTAGCTGGGATGACAGGCACACAGCACCACACCCAGCTAATTTTTAAATTTTTTGTAGAGACGGTGTCTCATTATGTTGCCCAGGCTGGTCTCAAACTCTTAGGCTCAGGTGATCCTCCCTTCTTGGCCTCGTGAAGTGCTGGTATTAAAGCATGAGCAACTACATCCAGCCACTAGAATGTATTTTCAAGGAAGTACTTATAGAATAATAATATTTGAGTGCAGCTGTGTCTTCACTAGACTGTGTATTCAGATGACTGTATATTTCACATGACTATACAGTCATCCTTCGATACCTGTAAACCTCCCTCGGATACCAAAATCGTGGATGCTCAAATCCCTGACACAAAATGCATAGTATTTGCGTGTAACCTATGCACATTTCTCTTATATGCTTTAAATAATCTGGTGTGTGTATATATATATATATATATATATATATATATATATATATATATATATATAAAATACCTAATATAGGTAAATGCTATGTAAATAGTTATACTGTGTTGTTTGGGGAATAATGACAAGGAAAAACGCCTGTACGTGTTGAAGACAGAGGTTTTTTTGTTTTTGTTTTTTTCTCTGAATGTTTTCAATCTGCTGTTGGTTGAATCCACATACACAGAAGCCATGGACATGGAGGGCTGACTCACAGTCTCCTCATGGGCCAGAGGAGTTCATACTCATTGGTTCTATCAAACATTAATCAAATGGTTAAGAATTGTGATTTTTAGGGCCAGGTACACCTGTAATCCCAGGACTTTGGGACGCCAAGGCAGGATGATTGCTTGAGCCTGGGAGTTCAAGACCAGCCAGGGCAACATAGCAAGACCCTGCCTTTACCAAAAAAATATTAAAAAATTAGCTGTGTGTTGTGGTCATAGTCCCAGCTACTTTGGAGGCTGAGGTAGAAGGATCGCTTGGCCCTAGGAGGTCGAGGCTGCAGTGAGCTGCACCCCAGCCTGGGACAGAGCGAGACCCTGTCTCAAAGAAGAAGAAGAAAAAAAAGAATTGAGACTTTTTTCCACACGAAAAGCCTGTTCTTATTTGATATGACCATTTATTATTTACAATTTTTTCATATTTATAACATTATAAACACTTTTAAAGCTATAAACATTTTCCTTCCATTTTTCTGTTGTAACTATTAAAAAGCAATACATAATAGTTGCTGTGCGTAGCTTTTTCTTGGTACTTTTGACTTACATCCAGCATCAAATAAAAATATATACATTAATATTAATAAGATCCACTTAATTTGGTTTACCAAACTTTTTGAAATATTCCTTACCAGGAGGTTCAGCAACATCAGATGACCATGAATTTGATCCATCAGCTGACATGCTGGTTCATGATTTTGATGATGAACGAACATTAGAAGAGGAAGAAATGATGGAAGGAGAAACAAACTTCAGCTCTGAAATAGAAGATCTTGCAAGGGTAAATAACATGTAGAGCTAGGGTATGAATTGGTTATGACTTTTTTGTGGAAAGGGAAGATCTGAAATTTTGATTCTCTGATTAGGAGAGAAATTGTGTTATATATTAATGACTGAAAAATTTTGTGTGATCATAGGTGGGATATTTAAAGTTTGAAATGAAAGGATTTAAAAACAATAACTTTATTATGTGCAATAACAGAATTCACATAGTTACTTTGGTAAAACATAGACTGTTAAATGATTCTGCTATAAAGGTCTGGTCAAAAATGGACTATAAAAGGATTCTACACGGCCTCATATATCCTTTGTCCTTCCCCAGTTACCATATCTTTTACTTATTCTCCTTCAGAGCCAAAAATTCTTGAAGTATCATTTTCCATTCACTACATAAAGTGCTCTAGATTATCTCCACTACATAAAGTGCTCTAGATTATCTCCACCTCTTCCTATCAAGGTGACCAGTGAACTTTCCTTGTTACATCCATTTTTATATTCACTTTTCTCTCACTACCTTACTTTTTCTCAGCAGTATTCAATATAGTTTAACATTCCCTTCTTTTACTTGAATTCTGGAGTACACCACTGTCTGGTTTTCTTTATCTTTTTGTTTCTATTCAGTATCTTTTGCAGACTCTTCTTCCGTTACTCAAGGTTTACATGTTGGCAGTTTGTGATTCTCAGTTTGGACCTTCTTTTTTTCTCTCCTGTCTCTGTCTGGATCAGTGCTCCTCAAAATGTAGTATGAGGGTCAGTTGCATCAGAATCAACCCTGTACTTATTTTAAAAAGCAGATTTTTTGGACCTCTCCCCCGGCATACTGAATCAGAATCTCTGGAGGTGGTGTTCAGATCCACATCTTCATTAAGTAAGTTGGCATTATATGTACACCAAATTTGAAAATCACTAAGCTGTGTGATTTAATTTATTCCCTTGGTGTGTATATCCTTAGTATTCTTTAGTTTATATTTCTAGCATTAACCTATTTCCTGTCTCCAGTTTTGTTTGTCCACCTTGACATTTCTGCTTGCTTAACTAAATGGACATCTCTAAATTATAAATGTCCAAAACAGAACTATTGACTGTTGTTTTTTTCTCTGCTTGTTCTTTCCCTGTCCTATCAGTAAAAAGTGGTACTACTATTTACCCTGTTGCCTAAGTCAGAAACCAGTGAGTCATTTTCCTTCTCTTTCAATATCTTATTTCTAAATAAACCTATCATTTGTATCCACAAGAATATCCCTTAGCCGACTCTTGATCCATTGCTGCCTAGATTACCATTCTTTCTAGCCTAGGCTATTGCAGTAGCTTCCTGACTGGTTTCCCCATTTCCTCTTTTACCATCTTTCTCCTGATACATTTCCACCCAGCAGCTGTGATCTTCTTTTCAAAATGTAAATCAATTAATATCAACCTCCCAGCTTCCTGTTATATCCAAAGAAAACCCAAACTCCTCAACCAGGCCAGCAAGGCCACCTGCATGATAATGGCCTCTTACCCATGTATCACACTACCTCTGTTATAGCCACACTAGCTGCTTTTGTTGTTAAATAGGCTAGTTTCTTCTGCTTCAAGGGTTTTCAGCTCATTCTCACTCTCTGGTATATGCATCCCAAGGCCGGCTCCTTATCCTCTGGGTTCGGTGTTGCCTCCTCAGAATAGCAGCCTTTCCTGTCCCCTAATTAGGTTTTAATTAGTTTTTTGTTTTATTTTTATTTTTTTTTAACCACTGTCCCCTATTCAATGCTTTCTTTAGTGTTAGGACACAATTTGTAATTGTTTGTTTAATTTATTGTCTGTACCTCCACTGGTTTTGAGAAGATGAAATAAAATGACTGTTATTCACCAGTGTATTTCATGGTACCTTGCAAGAGTGCTCACTCAAAAGTATTGTATGAATGAATGGATATATCAGTCTGGTATGTTCTAATAAAATATATCATGCATATGATTTCCTGTACTCCATGATAAAAAGAACATAAGAAATAAGACATAGTGCCAGTCTTTAAGGATTTGGAATACATAATATCATGAAAAATGAATGCTTATACTTTTATGGTAATAAAGACCTATGTCTCATAATTTTAGTTTGTAACTTTTTAAAGTATACATTTAAAGAGCTCAAAAAGGAGTTCTATTACTGTTTATTGAAATCTTGTCAGGTGTTCCCATTGTGGGATTAGAGCTGGCTTTGGGATTAGATCATTTAGTGATTACAGCTGACTTAATCCACAATGTCTGAATAATTTAATGTGTCAAAGGTGTATATTGGCTATCACAAAAGTCTTTCAAGAATGGGTTAAAAAGCATATGAAGGGCTGGGCATAGTGGTTTATACCTGTAATCTCAGTACTTCAGAAGGCCAAGGCAGGAGGATTACTTGAGGCCTGGAGGTCAAGACCAGCCTGGGCAACATAGTGAGACCACCATCTCTGCAAAAAATTTTTTAAAAAGGTTAATTAGGCATGGTGGCATGCACCTGTAGGCCCAACACTTCATGAGGCTCAGGTGGGAGGATTGCTGGGGTCCAGGAATCCAAGGCTGCAGTGAGCTATGATAGCACTGCTGCTCTCCAGCCTGGGTGACAGAATAAAAATGTTACTACTATTTACCCTGTTTTATTTTTCAGAGACTGTGTGTCTGAAAACAGGGCACTTGAAGAACTTGAAGTCAGAACTATTGTTTAAAAGTAGGAGGCTGGGAAGCGATTCAAAAACAGTTATAAGGGAAACAGTTGATTTAACAATCATAGTCACTTCATGTATTTGTGAAGTGAGAAGACAATTATTTTCAGTTTGCCTATATTCAGAGAAGATCTATCACTTTATATTTTTTGCTTCTGAATAGCCATCTGTGGGATAAAAGGTACAGTAATAAAATCTTGTATTTTCTGTCTTATATTCTATATTAGCTAAAATACTAATTAGCAAGAGGAAATAAGTAGTTTTCATAATGGGTTATGAGTTAGTTATTTTTTTTCTATTTCAGAAAATGAGATATTTATTACATTTAATTAGTAGAAAATTACTAATGGGCTGTGCTAAAATTTTGGTTATATCATTGCCTTTTCCTGTTTTTCTCTCCTATTCCTTTCCCCAGCCCCATATAGTGCCTTAAAACTTGCTTTCAAGTGACCCTGCCTTAGGAAATAGAAGTTAAAATAGAATTATTTATAGAGATAGGGAAAAAAAGACAGTTGAACCAATCCTTTATCATCCTTTCAACTAGACAGCCTTATACCTTCTCAGATTCTTCTCTGACTTCTCCCAGAAACAATTAAAGCTTTAAGTAGCATAGAATGCTTTTCATCTGTAACCTGAAGCTAAGCAATATTTTGGGGCCAATTTGTTGGATTTCCTAGAGTTATTAACTCTTTAGGTTTGAACCAAACAAAATTCTTGTTGTGTTTATTGAAAAAGTGAATAAGATTTTGTTGTGTTGATTATTGATTTGCTTTTATAGAAGCAAAACATTAGTTATGTCAGGGATTGATAGTGTTTTTCACCTTACACCTTGGTTGCATGAAATGAATTTTTGATGTATTGTGGCAGAACTCTGACATTCATTCAGGAAATATCAATAACTGTATAGCATGTGGTTTTAAGTTCATTCAATTTGAATTCTAGAATTTTTCAGTGAAAACTAACTCGAAAGAAGTTTTGATGTGTATTGTTACATTTGTATGCATGGATTATGACAATATAAAAGATAAGTGTTTTAATAAAATTGGGTGTATAGGTTATTATTTATTGTAGTGATTAGTGATCTTAGAGGGAATGTCAGAATCATTCTCATAGTAAATAAATAGACTTTTGTTTTGTTTTGTTTTTTTGAGACAGAGTCTCACTCTGTTGCCCAGGCTGGAGTGCAGTGGCACGATCTCGGCTCACTGCAACCTCCACCTCCTGGGTTCAAGCAATTCGCCTGCCTCAGCCTCTTGAGTAGCTAGGATTATAGGCATGTGCCACCAAGCCCAGCTAATTTTTGTATTTTTAATAGAGATGAGGTTTCACCATGTTGCCCAGGCTGGTCTCGAACTCCTGGCCTCAAGTGATCTGCCCATCTCAGCCTCCCAAAGTGCTGGGGTTACAGGCGTGAGCTATTGCACCTGGCCATAGATACATTTTTGTTTGCTACAAATAGAAACACTCTAGTTTAACTCTGTTTTCCAAATGAACTCTTTAAACTCAGAGACTCTAAATGGGCACAATTGTGGCAGTCCATTTGGGAAAAGAAAGATCAAGATTGCAATATATTTATGTATTTAGATATATTTTATAAAAATCACACTATAACAGTATCAGTATTTAATACATACTTTTAAAGTGCTAGATGTGTTCCATCCAGAGCTAGAGAATAATTAAAATGTGTGATTAAAATGTGAGAGATTGCAGTATTTTGACGTATACACACAAATTAATTATATAGATAGAAAAGAAATCTCAGTGTGAGGATTATAAAGAAGAGTTCAGTGCCTTCATTCCTATATAGTTTTATCTTCTAGTCAAGCCCCAGCCCCAAGAGATTGGTTACCTTAGGAACCATCTCTCTAGTTCAGTCTGGATGTGGTCCCTTAGGCCTTTTTGGCTGGAAATCTGCCTCTTTCCTTCTTCCTATCTTCATTAGCATTTTATTGGTAAGTCAGTTTTGGTACAACAGGTGTAAGAGTACTATCTACATCCACCAAATGGCCTTGACTTGAAAGTCAGCATCTGCCATTTCTTAATGACTAACCTCCTGATGTGAGGGAGAAGGAGCTAGGAACTAGCACCTCTTCTGCAGCTAGGAGTTGGATGCCACTCCAACCTATAATATGTTAGTGTTTGATAACTTTACCCTATTGTCTTGAAATTAGGGCAGACTTAACTTGAGATATAGTATATAGTGTTTATCCTTTTTGATACAGGGTCTTACTCTGTCACCTTCCCAGGCTCATGTGATCCACCTGCCTCACCTCCCACGTAGCTGGGACTGTAGGCGTGCACCACTATGCCCGGCTAATTTTTTATTTTTTTGTAGAGATGGGGTCTTGCTCTGTTGCCCAGGCTGGTCTTGAACTCCTGTGTGCAAGCAGTCCTCCCACTTCGGCCTCCCAAAGTGCTGGGATGATAGGCGTGAGCCACTGAGTCTGGTCGGTTTATGTTTTTAAAAAGTCCATTTCTCCCACCTTCAGCCAGCCTTCCTTTAGCTTATGCAGACATGATTGCCCTTCCTTTTGTTACAGTGTAAGACAACTCATTTCTTAAAATACAGTCTGCAAATATAGTGTGTATTCCTGTTTTTTTTTTTTAAGTTAATTTTTTAGAGACAGGGTCTCGTTCTGTCGCTCTGGCTGGAGTGCAGTGGTGCAGTCATAGCTCAAGCATCCTTAACTTCCTGCGTTCATGCCTTTCTCTCGCCTCAGCCTCTTGAGTAGCTAGGACTGCAAGTGCATGCCACCGTGCCTGGCTACATTCCTGTATTTTTATTCATCATGTACTATGCCCACTTTCCTTATTTCTCACAGTTTATCAGCCCTCTTATTTCACATTGTAACAGGATGCTGTATACTTAACCTGACGTTAGATTTTGAAGAAGGCAGTATATATGCATATGTACAGAAGGGCAGTGTAAAGCAGTGAGTTAGACTGCCTGGGTTCGTAATCCAGTTCTACTACTTATTTCAGTGTGGGACTTAGGATAGGTTACTTAACATTGTTAAACTTCAGATGTTATTACAAGAATAATATATCTAAAGCGCTTAACATAATATTTGGCACATAATAAACACAAAATAAATCTTAGTTAATGTCATTCATAAGATTCTCAAAAAAGTCTCTGACCTATAACTGAAAATGTACAACTTGCCACATAATTTTTTCTTTCACTCTGTTCTCGCCTTTTTATACTCTTTTAACACTTACGTGAATGGGAATAAAACACTGTGCCACTTTATTGTGATGTTTCAATTTAAGTTGAAGTAAGCCCTTGAGTAACTGGTAGAATGCAGACTTTGGTAATATAAACTAATTAGAAATTCTCTGGAACAGGTGACTGACAGGCCCTGGTACAATAGTATACTACTTTTGGCCAAGTTTTATTCATCCTTAAATCTTTTTTCAGAGGGAAATAACGGAATATTTGCGTTACACGATATCATTACTGTTTATAGCATCAGAATTTGGGGGTGCAGAGACAGAAATCTGTCTGTAACTAGATTACAGACAGTCTAACCTCAAACTAGGTTAGACAAAATGAAGAATTTCATGTAAGTCTCATGGAATTTCATTAAAGGAGGGATATATCTGCTCCCAGGGACTCAAGTGCCACCAGAATTTATTTTCTCTATTTCTGCTTTTCTACATGGTTTACCTCTTTTTGTTTTTGAGACAGGGTCTCACTTTGTCACTCAGGCTGGAGTGCAGCAGTGCGATCTTGGCTCACTGCAGCCTCAGCCTCCCTGGATGAAGCCATCCTCCTGCCTCAGCCCCCCTAGTAGCTGGGACTACGGGCATGCGCTGCCACACCCAGCTAATTCTTTTTGTATTTTTTACATGGACGGTGTTTCGCCATGTTGCCCAGGCTGGTCTCGAACTCCTGAGCTCAAGTGATCTGCCTACCTTGGCCTCCCAAAGTGCTAAGATTACAGGCGTGAGCCGTGTCCCACCTGACTTGTCTTTTCAGACCAACTTTCTTCATATTATGCTGTCAGTTTGTAGGTCTCCCACATTTACTACTTGAGATAGTCTATGCTTCTTTCTTAAGTTGCTGTTGATAAAACTCCAGAAACAAAGTATGGACAAGCTTGGGTCATGTGTCCACTCCAAATCTACGGCCAGGGAATACAGTTATTCCAATTATGTCAGCTACTATGGTCAAGGAGGTGAACTTTCAAGAAAAATAAGTGCTTGGAATGGAAGAAAGAACATTTCATGTGAGAAGACAAGTACAGAAGTAGAGAGTAGGAGAGGCTTGGAGGGGAAATAATAAATAATCCTTACATGATGCTTGTTTATGCTTGCTAAATCTTTACTTCAGTTAGCACAAAGCAGGAACACAAATACATGCTATTGCAATTTGAAACAGGATTCCTCAGCAAAATTGATTCTGATTTTTATTATAGTTGTAGCCCGGAGTTTGCTGCAAGATTTTCACTTTTACCTTAGATTAAATAAGAGACTTTTTATACTGTCGTGCTTCAACTTGTATTTTTGGTGGTGATGATTTTTTCTTTGTTGCTTACTAAGCTGATATTACTCACTTGATATTGGGTGACAGCTTGAGTTACAAGTTTAATACTAGTAAGTAAGCATTTTCTTTTCCTTTTTTTTTTTTTTTTAATATTCTTGAGACAGGGTCTCACTCTGTTGCCCAGGCTGGAGTGCAGTGACACAATCTCAGCTCACTGCAGCCCCTGCCTCCTGGGTTCAAGCAGTTCTCCTGCCTCAGCCTCCTGAGTAGCTGGGATTACATGCCCACACCACCATGCCTGGCTAACTTTTGTATTTTTAGTAGAGTTGGGGTTCCACCATGTTGGCCAGGCCGGTCTTGAACTCCTGATCTCAAGTGATCTGTCCCCCTCAGTCTCCCAAAGTACTGGGATTACAGGTGTGAGCCACTGCACCCAGCATAAGTAAGCATTTTCTTGATTGAATAAGTAAGGGTATTTTTTTTCCATGTGATAAAGCCCATCTAAAAATAACGTTGTGTAAAAATAAACTATTAGAAGGTATATGAAAGTGTAGTTGGGTACAAGGAATATATGGAACCAGGGATTCAGCATCACCAGGACCTCCATCTCTCCTAATCCCTGGTTGAATCCTGTTGCATCTCTTCAATTTTTTCTTTTCCACAACCACTAATTTAATTTAGGTTCTGATCATAATACAGGTGAATGTGTAGTGAATGATAGCAGTGGATTCCCACATGGCAAGCAAACTAAATCTTCCCCTGCCTAAGTTCACGTTGAGTGTTTTGTTGTGTGTGTAATTTCCCCTAAATACTTCCAGAGTGTCAGTAACTATTCAGTACGCTCAAATTGAGTCAGGAGTATAACAGAAGCCTTTAAAAATTACGTAAAACTAGAGAAAGTAGGTAAAAATAGTAATCCTGACTTTCATTAATCTATAACTGATCTTTCAGTAATGTATGGCCTTCTGAAATGATACTTTGTTTTTAGTTACTGTAAATGGTATGTCTGCTCTAATCAGGGTGACTGGCTTATTCATTTTTGTTTCTGTACCATACATTTGTCATTTGCTCTGACTTGAATGACTTTTCTCCATCTGTGCCAGTTCTATTACGATTGTAATTCAAGCATTTCCCCTCTAAATGCACTGTGATCAGGCTACTTTTGACTCTCTCTGTTCTCTGCTTAGTCAATATTGGAGGTGTTGGAGAATTTTTCTTTGAGAAATGAATTTTTTTCTTTTTCCTTTTTTTTTTTTCTTGAGACAGAGTCTCAACTCTGTCACCCAGGCTGGAGTGCAGTGGCATGATCTCAGCTCACTGCAACCTCTGCTTCCTGCGTTCAAGCAATTCTCCTGCCTCAGCCTCCTCAGTAGCTGGGACTACAGGTGTGCACCACCATGCCTGGCTAATTGTTTTGTAATTTTAGTGGAGATGGGGTTTTGCCTTGTTGGCCAGGCTGGTCTCGAACTCCTGACCTCAAGTGTTCTGCCAGCCTCAGCCTCCCAAAGTGCTGGGATTACAGGCGTGAGCCACTGCGCTTGGCCTGAGAAATGAATTTTTACAAAGTGAGTCACACTTCTTATCTGTATATCCAGGAGGGAAAAACCTTAATCTATGATTGTCAGACATTCTACATTCTTGATAATGGTTAAAAAAGAAAAATTCTTTTTCCATGTAGTTAGTATGTCACCTATCCTTTTGACAAATATTTGAGCTGGATATCATATGTCATACGATAAGCTTTATTAAAGTTAATGTTCAAGCTTTATTACCTCCCATTGGAAAGGGTGATTTGCAGGTATCTTATCCCAGACCTGTGAGATCAGTGGTTTTCAAGGTAGTCTCATACCAGCAGCATTAGCATCACCTGAGTTTTTTTTTTTTTTTTTTTTTTTTTTTTAATTGCAGGTACTCGGGCCTCACTGGAGACTTACTAGGTCAGAAAGTTGGGTGAGGCTCAGCAGCCCATTTTAGTAAGCCCTCAAGGTAATTCTGATACCCTTAATAAGACAGACCAATCGTAGAGAGCCTGAGGGCATTTGTTTGGTTGCTAATACACCTTTTTTTGGAGTGAACGAAGTACCATGATCTTGTCAGAAGATGAGTTCAAAATAGAGCATGGCTATGTAATTAGCTGTGTGGTTTCAAAGGATTAGTTATAACACAGTTATAAAAATTAAAGGTAGTGGTTAACAGGATAGTTTTGAGGATCAAATAAATAATGAAACAAGCTTTTCATGAACTCTTAAGGCCTATGTAAATTTCAGTTGCAAACTGTTAACGCTTATGTTTTTTTCCTTTTGGGGCCCTTATTCATACTAGTGACTTCAGTGGCTTTTATTCACAATAGTGATCAGTTGCTAAACTTGCTTCTGATTTTGGGGTGCAGGATATGAGCTTAAGAAACGTTACATGACCTGAGATTAGGAGGTCTGGGTATTATAATAAAGTATCAGTGCCTGACGTTTCTCTGCCTGGTTTCCTTATTTGCAAATAAAGGTAGCAAGCACTCCATTTGGTACTTCTAAAGATCTAATGAAATTGTGTGTGTTGACACTGCTTTCATGGTTGCAAGAGAAAAAGACAGTGAAATCAAAGCATCTATCATAAATGCCTGACACATAGAAGATACTTTATGACAGCTATTTGTTATTCTTGTATATAAAACTAGCTTTAGGCTGGGCACGGTGGCTCATGTTTCCAATCCTACATTTTGGGAAGCCAAGGTGGGCAGATCGCTTGCATCCAGGTGTTTGAGACCAGCCTGGGCAACATGGTGAAACCCTTCTCTATGAAAAATACAAAAATTAGCCAGGCATGGTGGTGCACATGTATAGTCCCAGATACTTGGGAGGCTGAGGTGGGAGGATCATTTGAAGGTTGAGGCTGCAGTGAGCAGTGATCATGCCACTGCACTCCAGCCTGGGTGACAGAGCAAGATCCTGTCTCAAAAAATAAATCTAGCCTTTTCATTATATTTCTCTTACTACACTTCTATCTCTTATTTTGAAGTTTTGTTTTAGTTCCTGAGTATTGACTCTCCAGATTCCCAAATACCAATGTCCTGTACCAGATTCTTGGTACATGGACCAGATACTTGAACACTTAAAGCACTGTTGGTGTTGTACTTTGAGAGACACAGTGTAAGAGCTGTCATTTGTTTGCCAGCTGGTTATTTAGCTAGAGTGGCAATACCTTGCCTTGATAAAGTTACCGCTTTTCAGGTTGTAGCTTCTGCAAATCATTAGGGGTCTTGGAATTGATTTATCTTTCAGAAATAGATTCACAAACTCATTCATAACCAGAATATCCATTTGTAATGGGAAATAGAAGTTTTGGATGACAGTTTCTTCCTAGTTCTTCCTAAGAAAATCTTTTCAAATGATAATCATTAATTTCTTCCCACACATGGATTTTGAGTGATGCAGGTTAATTGTATCATCTAATCCAGTCTGATTTACCCATATCCATTGTAGCAATGTGTTTAACACATGAGCTAGACTTACTTCTTTCCATGACTGCTGGAGAAACATAAACCATGTCTTATTTCATGATTACCCTTTTTTTTCTAGCTTCTAAACTGATTGTTTTCTGACTGTTTTGCTTCAGACCATGTGCATTGTATGTGGGTGTGCATGAGTGTATAATATGTTCACATGATTTGGATTAAATTTTCTTTTTATAATCAGAATTCTGTTATGTTTCCCTGATGCTGTGCATTTCTTGTTTACTGGTTAGAGTGAGTAGTTTGTATAGAAAGCTGATTTCATTTCATTGTGTATGGACATTTCTTTTTCATCCACGGAGGGTCTGATTTTTGTGGGGATTGAGGGAAGTCCCTGCCCAAGGCACCATGGTGTATTGATATGAATATGGGCTTTTGGAGTTAGACTGTTTAAATCTGGCTCTACTACTTGTAACTTGTGTGATTTGTGAAGAAATGCTTAACCTGTCAGCCTCTGTTTTCGCATCTATGAAATGGAAATAATATAACAAGTCCGTATGATAGATGGTAAGGATTTCATGAGATGATTTTATATGTAAATGGAGATAACCATAGAGAAGAATATATGGTTAATGTAGTCCATTATCATTTCTGTATATTACTACTGGTTTGTTTGTGTTTTTTTTTTTTTTTTTTTTCATGTGTTCGGGCTGAGCTCTGAATTTTCGTCTGCCTTTCTGGGTTTGTTAACTTATAGTCTATTTCTCATTGTTCTATTTCTCCACCCTCAAGTTAAGTATGGTACTCTTATTAAGAGTGGGCATCCATGCATAGCGTTAACTGTCATTGTGCATATACTGAATTGATTGCAAAAAGAATAGTCCATGTTAGACCAAGGCCACTTTTTAATTATACTTAAAGATCTTGTTGTCAGCAATTATAACTGGTTCATTTTATAGAAATACTTAAAAGATTGGGATATTCCTAGGTTTCAGAAATATTTTCAGTTTTACTTTTTATGATCCGAGAATTCGTAACACAGCTTTTATTCTTCACTATAGAATGAATACTCCACAGATTTGTGGATTATAGCCTGGGAATCAGAAATATCACTGATTCAGAGATTACCTTTTATTTTGATTTATTTAGGAAGGCGACATGCCAATTCATGAACTTCTCAGCCTTTATGGTTATGGTAGTACTGTTCGACTACCTGAAGAAGATGAGGAAGAGGAAGAAGAGGAAGAAGAAGGTGAAGATGATGAAGATGCTGATAATGATGACAACAGTGGCTGTAGTGGGGAAAATAAAGTAAGTCTATATACATATATTTAAGATTGTAGTCTTTATTCTTGTTGAAGTTAAAATTGCTTAATATATTTTGATTACTTGTCTTTATAATCTTTTCCTGATTTTAAAAGTGTTAAAAATTAAGATATTACAGAAATACATAATATAAAAATTGGAAATCCCCTGTAATTTACTCCTGAGGTAACAGTTTGGTCTTGTCATTTCAGGTTTCTTTTTTTCCAGTGCTTATTCTAATTAATTTATACCAACTTTCTAAAAAAATGCTATTGCTTTTAAATAATAAAGGCTAATTGGCAGTTTGTGTTTATTTTTCTTACTTTATTTTGAAATAATTTTAGATTTATAAAAGGTTTAAAGTTAGTATAGAACGTTCCTGTATACTCTTACCTCAACTTCTGCTAAGGTTAACATCTTGGTACAGTGCTATTAACTAAACTGCAGATTGAATTATACCAGTTTTTCTGCTAATGTACTTTTTCCTGTTGCAGGAACCAACCCAGAGGATGATACTACATCTAGTATATTCATTTTAGTCTTCTGCATATATTAGAACAAAATTTATATGCTATGGTCTTTCATCTGCAACTGTTTTCCTTACATCTTAGAGAAATTTAATTTATTATTCCACAGGAGGAGAATATAAAGGATTCATCAGGTCAGGAGGATGAAACTCAGTCTTCCAATGATGATCCATCACAATCTGTTGCTTCTCAAGATGCCCAGGAAATAATCCGCCCACGTCGATGTAAATATTTTGATACAAGTAAGTGTTACTGGTTGATAATATTTGAATATAATTTTTACTATTTTAGGTATTACCTAAAATCCTCTTTTTTAAACTGGTCTTTGAATTCATTTAGTCTGAAATTCTTTTCAACAGTAAATGGATTTTGTTGTAAGTTATTAGTTTAGCAATGCAGGGTCCCTGTTGTTAGTGAATATACTATGGTAATTGTGTCATGTACTACTTGACTTTGGGTGTATTTGTTTTTTCTTTGCCCTGTTTTTAAATGTTTGTTTCATGGTCATCTTTTTGTTTCTCATAGTCTTTCCCTTAGTTTCCATTTTTTACTTTCTTTGCCTCTTAGCCTTTTTTAGGTATATTCATAAATACACCTAAATTTCTCTACTTTAAAAGGAAGAAAAACACTTGAAGAAAAATAAACTGTCATGAAATATGTAGTAAGATAATATTATCTTTATTCTAAATCAGTTTTTTCCCCTAAGTTTTTATAGGAAATCATTTCATGAGAATACAATTATGTAGAAAGTTTATGGTTTTTTTGGTTTTGTTTTTTTAAGTGATAGGGTGTTAATTATTTGGTTAGAAATATCTTGGCTTAATTCATTAGATATCTTTGAGCATATCCAAATATTTGATGGTAGATGTAAAAATAATATGTAGATTTAGACAGGATAAGCAGTCATTTTATAGTATTGGTGTCTTATTTATTCTAGATAGTGAAGTAGAAGAAGAATCTGAAGAAGATGAAGATTATATTCCATCAGAAGACTGGAAAAAGGTAGTTAGAACAATATTTTCCCAAAATTTAGATAAATTAATATTTTTTTAAAAAGCCTCGTGTAATTATTTTTTTTTTTACTAACTATGTATATTGATAAAATCGATGTAAGCCCTTTTATGACATTTAAATGTTTGGTAAATGTTCAGATTCCTTCTTAACACATCTAGGTTAGATTAGAAATCTACATTTCTGGCGGGGTGTGGTGGCTCACGCCTGTTATCCCAGCACTTGGGAGGCTGAGGCAGGCGGATCGCTTGAGCCCAGGAGTTCGAGACCAGCCTGGGCAGCGTTGCGGGACCCTGTCTCATTTTATAAAACAAAACAAAAAATAAATAAAACAGAAATCCACATTTCTGATTTAGTCCTGAACTAGTGCCAAATTAGGCATTTGTTGCCCTGTAAAAAGTATCACGTATATGTTTTTCAATATTATGGAAAGCATTTGTGGAGGCTTTGATATTTGTTAAGTAAATTTTGTTTAGTAGTTCATATTGCAAGTTTTTCATTCTGTATTACTTTATAAAAGAAAAACTCTCCAAATGATTGAATTTAATGTTGACATTTACAACTGATAAGCTTATTATATGAAGAAACAGATTTGGCTTCTTCGTAACTATATACAATTAATTTCTGAAATGAATCTAAAGATAATATATTGAGATTAGTTTTTAATTATAAAATTATATAGCATATAATTAATCATACAGTTAAGTTAAAGAATTGTAAGTTATTGTAAAAGAACTGAGCTCTTAGGAAAAATCTATCTAAACATTATGTAGAATTAGCTGGTTGCAGTGATGTTTCCCCTGTTGTCCCAGCTACTTGGGAGGCTGAGGTAGGGAGAATCACTTCAGCCCAGGAGTTTGAGACCAGGCTGGGCAACATAGTGAGACCCCATGTCTTCAAAAAAATTTTTTATGTAGAACTGGTTAAAACAAAGAAATAATGTTATTTTTGTTGAGAGACAAGGTTAGCCCAGTTTACGGTATGTGTTAATTTGAGCAAATGATGGGACTCGACAGAAAACAAGAATCACAAAAGTTAATTTGTGTGGCCTATTTGGGCAAGGGTTCTTTCATCCTGTTTTTAATCTGATTCCTACAGTGTGCAGAAATTAAGATGAAAAAAGCTAGAAACCTTGGGAGTCCTTATAAATTGCTGTCCCACTTCATATTCAAGTTTATGTATCTTCAACATGTGTTGTTTTTTAATCTGGAGTGTTCAGTAGAGTATTTGATTAAGCATTCAGTGTTTTTTTTTTAAATGAAAGAACAAAAGCTCAGAGGTAGAACACCTCTCATTGCTGGAGGGTATTAATTACCCACACCTTACTCAGAAAGGGTATTAATTAACCACACCTTTCTCAGAAAAAAATTATGTAATAAAGCAGGCCAGAGTAAATGCAGATTGTTTTCTTTCAGTATGATTTTGTTGTTTTAAATAATTGTCAAGGTTCAGAGATTCATTTTTTTTTAAGACTTATAAGATGAAATTGAGTTTTTATAGAAACTTAAGGTAGGGGAAACAGTTTTGAAGTCAAACCTGAATTTTAGTTGTAGCTCTAGAACTTAGTAATTGTGTGCTCCTGAGAAAATCAAATTTTTGAGCTTCATCTTCTTACATATAGTATGGGAATAACAATGTCAGCCTTATGGGGCTTGCTGAAAGATTAAAGGAAAATTGCATATATGATATGTTAACACATAATGATCTTCAAAGCTATTTCCCTTCCCTTCCCTGTACTACCGAACAAATTAACAGATGAAAAGAAATGTTCAGAACTGAACAGGAAAAAGGAAGTACCTATCTTTAAACTAATCCAGATGTTCTCAACCCTGTTTTTATGTTAGAATCATTTGGATAACTTAGATGTACTGACTACCAGGGCCTTCATTCATAGATTCTAATTTAATTGTCCTGCAGTGGATCCAGGCATTGATGGTTTAGAAGCACCCCAGCCAGGGTTAGTAACTTGACAATGTTCTTTGGTAGGCCTAGGTGAGTTAAGTTAAAAGAGGCACAAGATGTGACAATAAAGGACTCTTTTTATAGTAGAAGACATAAAGAGAATTCCATTGTAAGGGTAGAGAAAATTTGTTGTAAGTTTGATTCTTTTTAGAAAACTGATCATGAGAAAGATTGGTTTTTCTTATGGGTATAGAAATAACTTTATTACATAAAGCACGTCTTTGAAGTTGTACTGGATAAAATGAGCTCCTCACATCAGTGAGGTAACAATAGCAGGAGAGAGACTTTCCAAATCCTAAGAGTTACCAAAACTTCTAGACCATGATTTTGTACCTTTCATGCCCAATTTTGAAAATGTCAGTAAATGTGTTCTTAACATTTAGCCATCACACAAAAGAGGGTTCATGTAATCTTGGTCTCCTTGCATTGTGAAATTTCACCAGTGGTAGTTTGCAGTTGCTTTTGAGAACATCCAGTTTCACCTAATCTGTGATTTGACTGTATAGATATGATTACTGGATTTCCTATTTAATTATATTTGTGGGAGGAGGTTACTTTTTCATTTTGTATTGTTTTAATGAAAGTCAAGCCATAACCTGCTTATCTATTTCATTTAGAGTTTCTTTCATTTGGCCCCTACTGAGCTTTATACAAACCCTTTTTGTTATTTTTCCTACTTTGAAGCTCTGTTTTTCAGACTTCAGTCTATGTCAGAATCACCTAGAGAGCTTGTTAAAATACCAATGACTGAGTCCTGTCCCCAGAGTTTCAGTAGGTTTGGGGTGGGACCTGAGCATTTGCATTTCTAACAGTTTCCCATTAGCTGTGTGTGGTGGCATGTGCCTGTAGTCCCAGCTACTCAGAGACTGAGGTGAGAGAATTGCTTGAGCCTGGGAGGTCGAGGCTGCAGTGAGCCATGATCACTCCAGCCTAGGTGACAGAGCAAGACCCTGTCTCAAAAAAACAAAAATTTCATAGATGACACTGATGCTGCTCATATAGGGATCATATTTAAGACCACTGTCTTAAGTGTAGATACTCTGAAAATATCTGAATTTGACTTTGTGTTTTACATGTTTTGCAGTTGTCTTACTAATGGAATTATCAGAATTCACTTCTTTGTCTCTATATTTTGAAATAAAGTTTGTATTTATTGTTTACGTTGCATTTCACCTCAGTATTATTACTAATATTTTCATCCAGTCATTATTTGTCATTCATCTTCACAAAGGTACCTCTGAGGTAGTTAATTGGTTGTTTTTGTATTTTATGACAGAGAAACCAGGAACAGTTTACTAAGATGGTAAGGCTAGAAAATGGATATAAAATCTGTTACTAGATCTTACTAATGTTTTATGTTATTTTTAAAATAGGAGATTATGGTGGGCTCCATGTTTCAAGCAGAAATTCCAGTTGGCATTTGTAGATACAAAGAAAATGAAAAAGGTGGGTTATTAGTAAAGTTACGTAGCTGAATTTATGCTTTCAGTGTAATGAACTGTTACTTTATATGTAAAATGTGATAAGAACATGACAGCCTACTAAGTAACCCCATTGTAACCCCATTGGTTTGTGAAAGAGGACCCTTCATTATTTCTGTGAGAAGAATGTGTGTACTCAATTTTTTCAGTTTGGTCTATAGAAGCCTAGCCAAAAAAGGAAAAAGTGAATGCTTTTTTTCATTTTAAAGTGACTTACAATGTCTCAACAGTTTTTTTTACTTTTTTCCCCGTATTTTCAGTGCTCTAAACTTTAACCCTTCTCTAATCTTTATAATTTAGTTTTTAGAAGTCCATTTTATATCAATGAAAGGCATAAAAACAAACGAGAGTAAATAACTGATATAAACAGCTTATTTGCTCCTGAAACTTTCACTAAGCAAAATGGAGTGCTTATTAAAATGGAGTACTTTGGACCAGGTGCCGTGGCTCACGCCTGTAATCCCAGCACTTTGGGAGGCTGAGGCAGGCGGATCATGAGGTCAGGAGTTCGAGACCAGCCTGACCAACATGGTGAAACCCCGTCTCTACTAAAAATACAAAAATTAGCCTGGCGTCGTGGCGCGCACCTGTAATCCCAGCTACTCAGGAGGCTGAGTCAGGAGAATCACTTGAACCCAGGAGGCAGAGGTTGCAGTGAGCCAGTATCGCACCACTGCACTCCAGCCTGGGTGACAGAGCAAGACTCCGTCTGAGGAAAAAAATAAAGAAAATGGATTACTTTGATGCTTGTGTTTTAAAAATAATTTGGGAAAACAACTTTTGTATACTTAAATTTTACATGTTTTTTTTTTTCCATTTCATTTCATTTGAAAGTCCTGAAGTAAGTCATACTTCCAATAACATACAATACTTGAAGATTTTTTTTTTTTTTTGAGACAGAGTCTTGCTCTTGTTGCCCAGACTGGAGTGCAATGGCATGATCTCGGCTCACTGCAACCTCCACCTCCTGGGTTCAAGTGATTCTCCTGCCTCAGCCTCCTGAGTAGCTGGGATTACAGGTGCCCACCACCACGCCCAGCTAATTTTTTTGTGTTTTTTAGTAGAGATAGGGTTTCGCCATGTTGGCCAGGCTGGTCTTAAACTCCTCACCTCGTGATCCGCCTGCCTCGGCCGCCCATAGTGCTGGGATTACAGGTGTGAGCCACCATGCCTGGCTGAAGATTTTTTTTAAAGAGTCTGTTTCAGATTATTCACCTCATTTGAGTTCCAGAAAAAATGCTGTGTATGTTTCCTTTTTTTTTTTTTTTTTTTTTGAGATAGAGTTTTGCTCTTGTTGCCCAGGCTGGAGTGCAATGGCTCAATCTCGGCTCACTGCAACTTTCGCCTCTCAGGTTCAAGCAGTTCTCCTGCCTCAGCCTCCCAAGTAGCTAGGATTACAGGCATGCGCCACCACGCCCAGCTAATTTTGTATTTTTAGTAGAGATGAGGTTTCTCCATGTCGGTCAGGCTGGTCTTGAACTCCTGACCTCAGGTGATTCGCCTGCCTCAGCCTCCTAAAGTGCTGGGATTATAGGCATGAGCCACTGCACCTGGCCGTATGTGTGCTTTTAATGAGTTCATGTGCAGTGTGACATCACTCAGGACTAGAAATCTTTATTTCTTTTATTTCAGTTTTCTTCACATTTCAACTTAATATACACAAAGGCCTTTGGAGTTGTATTAATAGAAGTTTTTTGTTGTTTATTTCTTTTTAGCATTCTCTCCAAAAACTTACTTTATATTCTAAGTATGCACCTACTCTCAGGGCAAGCAGCAGGTCAGAGGCAGTCAAGGGAACATCACAGGCCAGTACGGTTTTTGTGATAGCAATATGTTTTAATACATCATTTAAATGTTTAATAGCTACCACTTATTTCTCAAGGTAATTCCTGCAAGATATAGGAACATTGAAGCTAGCAGTATGGAGTGACTTTATTACATATAGAAATTCTGTACATATGGTATGTTCTGTGAACGTATAATTGTGTGCCAAAATAAATGATCTGTTGGCTTTTGTATTTATTTTTGTAATTGAAATGTCAGTTTTGTGCTTTACTCGTATAGTAGTTAGCAATGTTCACCATTGAGGTTTTTCTTTCTGCAAATAAATGAACTGAAAGACATTTGTTTTTATTAAATTTCTTTTAAATTTTGACAATGAAAGATAATAGAGCCTATTTTATATTTTAGTATTTATATTATAAATTTATATTATAGTTGAAAATAGTTTTATTGCAGTATACTTTGTTTTTTATTTTAATATGTTCGTATTATATATCAACAGTGAATAATGATCACATTCTCTTATTTATGCTTAGTTTTAATTTTTAATTTTTGTGGGTACATAGTAGGTGTATATAGTTCCGGGGTACGTGAGATGTCTTGATACAGGCATGCAGTGTGTAACAACCACATCATGGCAAATGGTGTATGCATCCTCTCAAGCATATTATCTTTTGTGTTACAAACAATCCATTTATACTCTTATAGTTCTTTAAAAATGTACAATTAAGTTATTGATTATGGTCACCCTGTTGTGCTGTCAACTATTAGGGGTTACTCATTCTATTTTTTTGTACCCATTAACCATCCCTACCTCTCTCTTACTCCTTTCCCGGACTGACCTTCCCAGCCTCTAGTAGCCATCCTTCTGCTGTATCTCCATGGGTTCAATTGTTTTGATTTTAGATCCCACACATAATTGAGAACATGGGATACTTGTCTTTTCCGTGCCTGACTTTTTGCTTAACATAATGACCTTCAGTTCCATCCATGTTATTGCAAATGACTGGATCTCATTCTTTTTTTATGGCTGAATAGCACTCTATTGTGTATAAGTACCACATTTTTTTTTTTATACTTTAAGTTCTAGGGTACATGTGCACAACATGCAGGTTTCTTACATATGTGTACATGTGCCATGTTGGTGTGCTGCACCCATTAACTTGTCATGTACATTAGGTATATCTCCTAATCCTATCCCTTGCCCTTCTCCCCACCCCACGACAGGCCCCGGTGTGTGATGTTCCCTTTCCTGTGTCCAAGTGTTCTCATTGTTCACTTCCCACCTATGAGTGAGAACATGCAGTGTTTGGTTTTTTGTCCTTGCGATAGTTTGCTGAGAATGATGGTTTCCAGCTTCATCCATATCCCTACAAAGGACATAAACTCCTCCTTTTTGATGGCTGCATAGTATTCCATGGTGTATATGTGCCACATTTTCTTAATCCAGTCTATCACTGATGGACATTTGGGTTGGTTCCAAGTCTTTGCTATTGTGAGTAGTGCCACAATAAACATACGTGTGCATGTGTCTTTATAGCAGCGTGATTTATAATCCTTTGGGTATATGCCCAATAATGGGATGGCTGGGTCAAATGGTATTTCTAGTTCTAGGTCCTTGAGGAATCGCCACACTGTCTTCCACAATGGTTGAACTAGTTCACAGTCCCACCAACAGTGTAAAAGTGTTCCTATTTCTCCACATCCTCTCCAGCACCTGTTGTTTCCTGACTTTTTAATGATTGCCATTCTAACGGTTGTGAGATGGTATCTCATTGTGGTTTTGATGCATTCATCTGTTGATGGACACTTTTTTTGCCATCTGTATGTATTCTTTTGAGAAATGTCTCTTCAGATCTTTTGCCCATTTTTAAATCAGATTATTAGACTTTTTTCAATAGAGTTGTTTGAGCTCCTTATATATTCTAGTTATTAGTGCCTTCTAAGATGGGTAGTTTGCAAATATTTTCTCCCATTCTGTAGGTTGTCTCTTTGTTGATTGTTTCCTTTGCTGTGCAAAAGCTTGTTAACTTAATATGATCCTATTTGTCTATTTTTGCTTTGGTTGCCTGTGCTTGTGGGGTATTATTCAGGAAGTCTTTGCCCTCAGTCCAGTGTCCTGCAGAATTTCCCCAATATTTTATTGTAGTAGTTTCATAGTTTGAGGTCTTAGATGTAAGTCTTTAATCTATTTTGGTTTTTGTGTGTGACAAGATATAGGGGTCTAGTTCCATTCTTCTGCATATGGATATCCAGTTTCCCAGCACCATTTATTGAAGAGACTATCTTTTCCCAGTGTACATTCTTGGCATCTTTGTCAAAAATGAGTTCACTGTAGGTATGTGACTTGTTTCTGGGTCCTGTGTTCTGTTCTGTATGTCTTATTTTTATGCCAGTACATGCTGTTTTAGTTACTGTAGCTCTGTAGTATAATTTGAAGTTAGGTAATGTGATTCCTCCAGTTTTGTTCTTTCTGCTTAGGATAGCTTTGGCTATTCTGAGTCTTTTGTGGTTCCATATAAATTTTAGGAACTTTTTTTCTATTTCTGTGAAGAATGTCATTGGTAATTTGATAAGGATTTCATTGAATCTGTAGATTGCTTTTGGTAGCATGGACATTTTAACAACACTGATTCTTTGAATCCATGAATGTGGAATATCATTCCATTTTTTTTTTTTTTGGTGTCCTCTTTAATTTCTTTTGTCAATATTTTATAGTTGTCATTATGGAGATCTTTCACTTCTTCGGTTAATTTCTAGGTATTTGATTTTATTTGTGGCTATCTTAAATGGGATTAGTCTTTTGATTTCCTTTTCAGAATGTTGACTTGGTGGCATATAGAAATGCTACTGATTTTTGTATGTTGATTTTGTATCCTGCAACTTTACTGAATTTGTCAGTTCTAATAGTTTTTTGTGGCGTCTTTAGGTTTTTCCAAATACAAGATCATATCATCAGTAAACAGGGATAATTTGACTTCTTCCTTTCTAATTTGGATTGCCTTTATATCTTTCTCTTGTCTAATTGTTCTGATTTTTTCATGGTTTAAATTCTAACTTAATATTTTCCATTTTAACATGATTTTAGAAAGTAATTATGCATATGTAATTTTTTTCAGGGACGAGTGATTTATGAAGCTTTCTCATTTTGAGAATTTAAGTATATTAGTTTGTGTAAGGAGGATCAGACTAAACTTAGCAGAATGAGATTGCTTTGGAGGGATCGCTGTGGTAAAGGGGCATTCCTCAGCTTTGTAGTTCTAGAAATTCAGACTTTTGTCAGGATACCCAGAATTTGTCTCCTCTTAAGATACCCTATACCATAAACCAAATTCTTGAAACTATTAGGTAAACTATGCTGTTAGAAATAAAACTTGTCAAAGGGACAGTGCTGATTAGTGCATTCTTATGGAAAACATTTCACAGGATATTTTTCATCAGTTTTGTGAACACAGACTTTTTTTTTTAAGTGCCACAAAACTAAGATATCCTGATATCTTTATTGTAGGGATTACTTAATGGATGGATCAGAATTCTCCTTTTCATTGATACGTGGAAACCTCCTTACCTAGTATCTTGGAGAGACATTGACAAATTTTTTCTCTCTGCCATCCGACTTTTTTTATTAGGCACCATGCAGATTATATATTCTTCATTGGTTAGCACTCCTAATTCAAACAGTTAAATAAACATGATTTGTTAGTTATAATAACATTCCAGGCATGCTCCTTTGGACTTGTATCTGTTTTGATTACAAAATCTCCTGAGCTACCCTTAACTTTTTCCTAAATTCATGTAAGTTATCATTTATACTAACCACAGTGTATTTTAACCTTTTGTTTACTCATCTTTGTAGCATTACTGGTAAGTAGGTCGATCCTTGCCCCATAGGCACTTAGTAAACATTTGGTGCCTAAGTGAATAGGTGGGTGAATTATTTCCGAATTAGGGTTTCCTTATATGGCCTTGTCTACCCCAAAGATCCCAAAAATATAAGAACTTTCGTCTGCAGAGAACAGAGGCTGAGCAGAGAATAGAAATCAATAGCAGTATATCCAGATTCATTTTATCATGGTAGTTTTATTGTATTTATAATTTAGGATATAACTAGGATTGTACCAGCAGATTAGAAAAGGAATGATGTTTATTAAGGAAGATTTTCTAAATATTTTCCTTTGGGCTGTACTTTAAACAAAAGTATCTATTTTGGGAAACAAGGGAAGATAGAAGAAGGTTTTGAAGTGTGTGTGGGTGAGGGGACAAGATAATTCATGTGAAAATAATACGGCCGGGCGCGGTGGCTCACACCTGTAATCCCAGCACTTTGGGAGGCCGAGGCGGGTGGATCATGAGGTCAGGAGATCGAGAACCATCCTGGCTAACACGGTGAAACTCTGTCTACTAAAAAATACAAAAACCTAGCCAGGTATGGTGGCACATGCCTGTAGTCCCAGCTACTCTGGAGGCTGAGGCAGGAGAATTGCTTGAACCTGGGAGGCGGAGGTTGCAGTGAGCCAAGATCGCGCCACTGCACTCCAGCCTGGGCAACAGAGCAAGACTTCGTCTCCAAAAAAAAAAAAAAAAAAAAAAAAAAAAAATCATTGCCTGGTACATAGGATATGCTTAATTAGCTGTTAATTTCTTTTCATAATAAAAGAAATTTTGACGCTGTTAGTTATTCTTTGTCTCTTAAAATGTTTCTCAGGCTGGCTCCTTCCTGTTGTCATTTACATATTTGCCTCATCTTTGAAAACAAACAAACCAAAACAACATAAAAACTTTCTTCACCTCTACTCTCTAGCTACTCCCCTATCTCCACCATCATAACTAAACTTTTCAAGAGTCTTATTTCTTCACTTTCCATTTATTCTTCAGTCTTATCCAATGTGGCTTCTGCTTCCATCTCTCTACAGAAAGTTCTCACAACATTCACCTCCTTGTTAGTAAAGCTGGCATAACCTTTTTCAATTTTCATCCTCATCACTCAACAGAATTTAACCAGTCTTTGAAGCTATTCTTTGAAACACTCTCTTCCCTTAGCATCTGTGATGTTACATTCTTGGTATTTCTTCTGTTTGTGACTTTTGAATTTTATCCATGTTTTCTTCTTATCATTTGGAATTCCACAGGCTTTGTCTTAGGTCATCCTCCTTTCATTACTTTTTGAGTTTTAATTAGATTTAGGCTTTCATCTTCTTATAATGGAAATTATGATGAAACTTAAATACCTTTAAAAAAGTAATGACTTGTTTTTGTGAAAGTGATTTATATACATTATACAACTCAAGCATCACAGAAAACATAAAGTAAAATTTACTTCAAATCCCACCACCAGGAATTAAGCAGTGTTAACATTTGGTGAGCATTCTTCTAGACATATTTTCAAAAATAATAGTTACAGTTACAATTACAGGATTTTAGTATGTGCCAGAATGATTGTAAAGTGCTTTAAATCCTTAAAACTATGTGGTAGAGTTATTGTTACCTCCTTTCACAGATGAGACAGAAGGGAAATAATTTGCCCAAGGTCATCATACATGTAATAAGTGGTAGAGATGGTATTCAACCAAGAGAGCTTGGAATTTGGTAAACTCAAGATAAAGTCAGACTGGATCTGCAGGGGGCATAAAGTGGTACCTCCTCTCTGTTTAAATTGTTTAATTTACTTAAACTATAGTTTTTGCCCAAGAACGAAGTCAGGCAAGTAGTAGAACCACACTGTACCTCAGTTCTCAACATTTGGCTCTGAGTTGTTTATTTAGTAATATGTTTTAACACAAACTCTATCAGTTTTTAGAAATTTGTTTAACATTGTCTTTTACTAATTTAGTATATGAAAATGATGATCAGCTCCTGTGGGACCCTGAGTACTTACCAGAAGATAAAGTGATTATATTTCTTAAAGATGCATCTAGAAGAACAGGTGATGAGAAGGGTGTAGAAGCAATTCCTGAAGGATCTCACATAAAAGACAATGAACAGGTCTGTGAAAGAAACAACTGTTAGAACTTTGCCATACACATTTATACATGTAAATGCTGTCACTTGCATTGTTGTTATTCTGTCCACCAAACTTTTTATAACATTATTGACAGGGAATCTGAGGTTATAATCCCTGTAAGATATCCGTTGTTACCACAGTGACTTCATTGGTGTGAAGCTCAAAAACGAAACAAAAACCTGTTTTATTTTGCCTGTATATACTTTTCATTAGGCTTTTTAAAATTCCTTTGGCTATCCCTAAGAATCTGTGTATATCAAGTTGGAATTCTCACCTCGGATTATCTTATGTACATGGTAAGACCAGTGCCTACCATGAACCTATCTTTTTTACCTTTTTAATCATTGTTTTTTTCTGATTTGTTTAAAATTATAGGAATCTCAAGAAGCCACAAAGAAGGGATTTTCATTGATATAAAATGAATTCTTTTTAGTCCTAGGGATACTATGGCCACCAAGTTTATGCATATCCTACTTTGTACATATTTAAAGGTAGTTGATTTATCAGGATCGAATTCATATTTGTTTTTCTTTGGAGTTCTCTATATATAACATTCACTAAAGTTATTTGCCCTCAAAAAGGATGAAAACACTGGATGTTTGAAAAACTTTTAAGAAATTGTAGCATTGAACTGTTTATAGTCCTTGTCACATATTCAAGCCTTTTATTTTTCTAGGCTTTATATGAATTGGTTAAATGCAATTTTGATACAGAAGAAGCATTGAGAAGATTAAGATTTAATGTAAAAGCAGCTAGAGGTAAGTATAGTTTTTATTCATTTTCATGATTTGGCAGAAATTTTAAAATTAAGCTTTTCAGTTTACCTAGGTATAGCCTAAACTTAATAATACTGATTTTTCTGAGTTTGATAAATATTTACAAAATACCAAGTATTACTAAACAAATCGTTACGGGGAGTGGGATTAAGATTGTCCCTTCCTCCTTTGTGGGAAAATACAGTCATGTAAGTAAAAATGTAAAAATTTATACTGCCTTATGCATTCAAGGCATATTTATAAATATTTTCTTATTTGATCTTGATAATTGCCCTATGAACTAGGTAGTATGACAGATAATACCTTTACTTAAAGGTAAAAATTGATGAGCCTGAGATCTCTGAACTAAAGTAACTTGGCGAAAGCAAACATAATTCATCAGTAATGAAGCCATGACTAAAATTTGGATTTTTCTTTTTTATACTATATCTGGCTCCTACCCCCCTTCACTAAGAGTACTACATATATATATATACACTACATATATATATATATATATATATATATAGATATGTAACAAATGAGAGATATTTATTTAACAAAAATTTGAGTGCCTTCTGAATTCTGAGGATGTAACTATAAACAAAGTCCCTTCCCCTCGTGGTGCTTAGAGCTTAGGTAGGGAAACTGGAAAATAGCTGATGAATTCTTCAAGGAAAATTAGAGGGTGCTATTGAAACCTGTAGTAATGGGACTTAACCTATTTGCAGAGAGGGTAGTGCTTTTAGGGAAAGCATTCAGAATGAAGTAATATTTTTGTTGGGATGCAAAAGAATTATCTCAGTGAAAGGGGATGAGGCAGGAAATAATTCTAAGCAAAGGAGAGACACCATGCACAAAGTCTGAAGTAAGAAAGAACATGGCAAATTTAAGGAATTGAAAGGTGGCTGAGATAGTTTGATCAGTAAGAATTAAGAAGAAAGTGGCACAAGTTGAAGCTGGAGAGGTAGGGACCAAATCATTCAAAATCTTATTAAATAAGGAATTGTTGTCACTTTATCTTTTGCAACAATTAGTAATAGAGCTCAGGAGTAAAATGCTTCCCTCATTTTTACGAGAAGGTTAAGTTTTCATTTGTAATTTTGTTATATGCAATAATTGGGGGAATATTGCTTAACAGTTTGTTCCTCCCATCTTGTCAGAGGAATTATCTGTTTGGACAGAGGAAGAGTGTAGAAATTTTGAACAAGGGCTGAAGGCCTATGGAAAGGATTTTCATTTGATTCAGGCTAATAAAGTAAGTAATGATAATCTCTTTTTTGCAAAAAGAAATTTAGTTGAACAACTCAAATGGTCATGTATCGTAATTTGTTATATTGTCTAGTGTTAAAGGTTTCATAATTAATATGACAATATTTTGGTATTTAGTGAGTAATTATAGTAAGGCTGCCTATACTTCCTAACCTATAATTACCTGTTGGTGACTGTTTTCAGTGCATCATATTGCAGGTGTTTAAGAATTGTACTCATTTACAAGCATGTTAATCAACTTCTAGTTGGGGTGTGTATGTGCAATGCAATTCTTTATAGCTGTTTTCCACAGTCTGTGACTGTTTTATGGAGGGCCTTTGAAATGATTTGGAAACTTTAAAGCACTTTCAATATGACATTATTTGCAGTTAAAATATTTATTACATTTGCTTAAGTCCTGAGTGGTCTAAAATCAAATACTTAATATTTAACTTAGTTTTAGTCAACATTTAATTTTCTAGGAGCTTCTGTGTCGATAAATCAGCTTTATATTCTTATAGTTATAATTTGAGGATTTTATTTAACATAATCATTTATCATTTCATGTTGATAATATCAGTCATGTAATTTATACTCCAAATAGCTTTATAATTACTTACAGATTTGTTTTGGGGCTTAATTCTTATAACTGAAATTAGGTATGATTTTTAATAGTAACCATATAATTATATAGAATAGAAAAATGTGTTGTTTCCATGAGCAACACATTAGGACAACAGATTAGGACAGGCAGAATTAAAGTCTTGGAGATTAAATGTAGGAAATTAATTCCCAGGCTTATGATTATCACATTATTTTTAGTTAGTAGAAATGACAAGGGTATTGGTTTATGTAATTCCTTAAAGATAGCTTCTAAGTTTTGTGTCGTAGCTTGTCCAGGACCTTGTTGAAAGTACCTGGGCTTATGTCTGAGGCTCTGAATAGTCTTCTGCCACAGCTCTCTTTTTATACATTTGGATGTGATTGGATTGTATCCAGTTGATTTTTTTGACACATATTTAATATTTTTTGTTATTAATAAAATATTTACAAATCCTGTGGGTTCATTTCTTAAATTTTGTCGTGCATTAACTAGTTTATTCTTATTTTTATTATTTTTTTTTTAAGTGGGAACTGGGCAGTGAAGAGCCCCACTCCCAATTAGTTCATTCTTAATTATTTTGTTGAATGTTGGCAGTTTACCGCAGATAACACTAATAGAGAAATGTTTAGTTTTAGCATTTAGGATAACTTAGAAGACAATGTAATTAGTTTCAAAAATGTATACCCCTAATGTTGTGTTCATATCATCTGATAACCTCAAATATAGTTAACATTCAAGAAAAGGAGTGCATTATGTGACTGGCCGTGTATGTTTTTGATTAAAAAAGAAAAAAGTTCGTTGTTTCATGGTTGAAAGGGACAACATTTTTGGATGAGGTTTTTTTTTTGTTGTTGTTGTTGTTGTTTTTTAACACTTCTGCTTGAATTAAAACACTCTTAACCAAACCATGCTGAATTACCTAAGGAAGGGACCCCTGGAATGATAGCTTATGTAACAAGCAGCAGCAACAACCCTGACCAATATGATTTTTTTAAAGGAGTTAAGAAATTATAGGTGACTTGAAACTTAGAGCCAAGTAACATAAGTATTAAAAGTATAACCTTGATTTCTCATAAATATTTGGGACAGTGGCATTTAAATGTTACAAGGTAGAAGTCAGCTGACCTCTACATAATACACTAAATTACTCTAGTGCACAAAAAGAGGACAGTAATTCTTTAAAAGGGAGACGAGTACTCTAGTGAGAATATCGAGTTTGTTTTTATGTCTGGAATTAAAGTTCAGATCTTAATCATAAGTTCTATTTTGAGGGCTTTTGTTGAAGATTTTTCATAATCTTAACTTTGCATGCCCCAAAATGACTTTATCTTTTTGCTTTCAGTAAAGTACAGTTGACTTAGTTCGAATCTATCTAGAAATAAGATCCTAGAGGAGACAAAAAACAGCTTGAGAGGATGATTTTTTTTAAAGTCCTGATTGCTGTCAGTCTCAGAGCAATATGGATCAGAGCTGTACAGTGCAAACGGGAAGAAAGCAAAATATATGTTGGGTAAGGGAGGGTATCATCAACATTTGTCCTTTAGGTGCAATCAGTGCTACAGAATATTTACTTCAAGAGCAGAAATTTATGGGATAAAGAAGTATATTGCATCCAGAACACATACAGACACTGGATTTCCTTTTAAATGGTCAGTATTGCCGGTGCAGTGGCTCATGCCTGTTATCTCAGTACTTTGGGAGGTTGAAGCATGCAGATTGCTTGAGCCTGGGAGTTCAAGAACAGCCTAGGCAACATGGCAAAACCCCATCTCTACAAAAAATAGAAAAATTACCTGAGTTTGGTGGCATGCAATTGTGGTCCCAGTTATTGAGGGTGCTGAGGCAGGAGGATTGCTTGAGCCTGGGAGGGCAAGGCTGCAGTTAGCGGTTTGGTGCCACTGTACTCCAGCCTGGGCAACAGAGCATGACACTATCTCAAAAAAAAAAGAAAAAGAAAGGAAAAAAGTTATCAGTATTTTATTTATATACATCAGCCCTAAATCCTCAGTATTTTATATATATACATCAACCCTACCACCAGTTCTCCCGGCTAAGTAACAAAAAGGAATTCTGTCAGCATCATTTAATTCCGTAGGCATTTAACATTATGTGAGGGGAGCCATTCAGTTGCACAAATAGGTACAGCACAGTAAGCCGCAAGAGTAACTTAGTAAACAAAGCATTAGCATTATTATGATACTTTTAACTCACTGTGGCATCTTCCCAGACTTTCTAGAGAGTAAATTAACTGAGTCTGGGTTGCTGTTGGGACTAGTAAGAGAATCTTTCAAAAGGGAATTTAAAGATACGCTCCCTAGGTACCCGTACTCTGTGAGTAAAAGTATTAGCAAACTGTTTATAACATTTATTTTAACATGAATGCCACTTCCAGGCCTTTTTTTTGTGTGTGTGTGTGTGAGACTGAGTCTCATTCTGTCACCCAGGTGGGAGTGCAGTGGTGTGATCTCAGCTTAATGCAGCCTCTGCCCCCACCCCCACCCCCTGCTGGGGTTCAAGTGATTCTCCTGCCTCAGCCTCCCGAGTAGCTGGGATTACAGGCACCTGCCACCATGCCCGGCTAATTTTTGTATTTTTAGTAGAGATGGGGTTTCACCATCTTGGCCAGGCTGGTCTTGAACTCCTGACCTCGTGATCCACCCCCCTTGGCCTCCCAAAGTGCTGGGATTACAGGCGTGAGCCACCGTGCCCGGCCAACTTCCAAGCATTTTTAATACAGGAATATATTTTTCTAGTAAATTAGGATGATGGTAGCATTTTAAAAAGCACAGTGCTGTATATCTGAAGACCTGTTGCCAATATATTATTTCTCTTAATAGATGTTTAGAAAGAATAGCTTTCAACATAGCTGCTACACTGTTGTATGTTATATATAGGATTATATTTCAGTTAAGGACTAGCCAAATTTATTTTCAAACTTCAGATGTTTATCATGAAGTAACTTTGTTAAAAAGGAGATTCTTAAAAGCAAGCATTTGTTTCTTACAGGTCCGAACAAGGTCAGTTGGTGAATGTGTAGCATTCTATTACATGTGGAAAAAATCTGAACGTTATGATTTCTTTGCTCAGCAAACACGATTTGGAAAGAAGAAATATAATCTTCATCCTGGTGTAACGTGAGTTAATTTTTTCCTTAAGAGCTATATATACATTTTTGCTAAGCTTTTCTAGATTTTTCTTGAGTTAATTATTATTTTGATAATCTTGCTTTTATATACTTGATCTTAACCAGAAGGCCGAGAGTGATAAAATCTTGCTTTTATAATACACATTAAACTTTACCATCTATTATATCTTCATAAATAAGGCATTTAGACTTTTCAGTGTCTTATGAAATATTGTAAACTACAGTTCATATTATGTATGAGACAAGCATATCATTAAAGCAAGATTTAGAATGTATATTTTTAATACACTGTTGAGAAGAAATGGATCAGAACAGCTGTGAAAGCATGTTTTTCTTAAATTCAGTTCCATTCAGTATAAGCACATACAGTTTTAATCTTCTTTTTTTTTTTTTGAGATGTAGTCTCAAATCTGTTGCCCAGGCTGGAATGCAGTGGTGCAATCTCAGCTCCCTGCAGCCTCCGTCTCCCGGCTTCAAGCGATTGTCCTGCCTCAGCCTCCCGAGTAGCTGGGATTACAGGTGCCTGCCATGACGCCTGGCTAATTTTTGAATTTTTATTAGAGACGGGGTTTCACTGTGTTGACCAGGCTGGTCTTGAACTCCTGACCTCAAATGATCCACCTGCCTCAGCCTCCTAAAGTGCTGGGATTACAGGAGTGAGCCACTGTACCCAGCATACAGTTTTTTTATAGAGGAAAAAAAACATGTATATGGTGACTTTCCTTTTCCTAGCTTTCCTGAATCTTTCCTCTAACAAGTAATATTTAAGAATTAGTAATGTAACTCTAGTGTAGTCCCATTGACACAGATATGGGTTGTTGTATCCATTCTTTATGTAAAATGTCTGATATGCCTAATTTATTCCCATGTTAAGAGAATTTATTGTCTACACCTCATTCAGTCTAGCTTTGGAGTGAAACATTCCACTACCACTGGCAATTTGTTACTTAAACAGAAAAGAGTATTGAACCCCTTGTCTTTCATGAATTGCTTTAAAATGGTGATTAATTGTTATGATGGAATTAACTTTACAGTGCTATCCTTAATTATTCCCTAATGTTTACAGAATAAAAAAATAATGCAAAATAAAAAATAAAAATAAAAAAAAATTGACTTTGTCAATGTACTCCAGTAAAGATGTTCTTAAAGCTGACCAAATAATTACCTTCGAAAGATGTGCTTGGGCCAGGTGCGGTGGCTCACTCCTGTAATCCCAGCACTTTGGGAGGCTGAGGCGGGTGGATCACAAGGTCAGGAGTTTGAGACCAGCCTGACAAACATGGTGAAACCCCATATCTACTAAAAATACAAAAATTAGCTGATGTGGTGGTGCACGCCTATAGTCTCAGCTACTCGGGAGACTGAGGCAGAAGAATTGCTTGAACCCAGGAGGCGGAGGTTGCAGTGAGCCGAGATCAAACCACTGCACTCCAGCCTGGGCAACAGAGCGAAACTCCATCTCCAAAAAAAAAAAAAAAAGATGTGCTTGTATGTTTATTTGATCTTGCTCTTCAGACTCCTAAACTGCACTGTTTCTTGATCAAGTTCATTTATAGGTAGGTATCTCTGCTGGTCACTTCCTTAGAAGGTCAAATGCTCTAAAGCCCACAGTAAAACAATCTGAAAGAGAATAAATGGGTATGATTCACCCTTGGAAATCATGGGACAATGGAGTGTGTACATCATCCCCCATTATTCAAAGCTGGTGATTGCTAAAGTGGAATTTCATAAATAGCAGTATTGCAAATTTTATCTAATTGCTTAATGTTAAATTTATAGTTAATTTTTTTTCCATTGGTAGTATTCAAGCATAATAATATAGAATTAGATACAGCATCTAGTCTGCAGATATATCTTAAAATAGTCATGATTTTCAAGGTATTATATAGGGAAAAGCAATAGTAACATCTTTTATTTTTTTCAACCATTTCAGAAATAATGTTCACACGTGAGCTACATTCAGTCTGTAATCATCAGCAGTAACAACATAAGAATGGCCATGCTGGGTCAGACCCATGGTTCATCCAGTTTTCTCTTTCAGAAAGCATCACCAAAGTGTGGGCTGGCTTAGTTGGTCCTCTGTGATGTCAAGATCAACAGGTTAGGTAGGGATGTGCCACCAAATGTTCTAATTTCTCTATTGATCTCCCCATAGCTTCTGAAAACTTTTTGAAGATACTTTTATCTGTAACTTTAATGACTCTTAAGGTTAAATATTCTTTAGGTAGAGTGGCCACAGTTAAAAATAAACAATATCTTAATAGTGGTCACCTGGTATAATGGTATGACGTGAACTAATGTGTTTTTTCCCTTAGGCAGGAATACCATGGTTTTGTAGGCTTCAGTTGTAGCCCCACTGGGTTGTTTTTTTTTTATAAAGTTTATTTAACTGAAAGAATCATACTTTTTTACTGAGACTCTTCCCTTTTAGCTGTGTTATGTCTTCTGTAAGAAGCAGTGACCAAACTACATTTCTTTCCAGATGGGGATAAATTTTTCTGGTTTGCTTCCATTACCATCTCTTTCTGTTAATAGCTGCACTTTAAGTGACTTCATAAAACATTAAGCTAATGTGTTTAGAGAGAAATTTGAGTGAATTTTCTCATCCTTCTTTTTAGGTCAAAATCCATAATTCAGAGCACATTATCCTGAAAGTCATTTGTTCACCAGGATGAAACACATTTTCCCCTTTTCTGCCTACAAACAGCCTTTGAAAGATTCTGCTACACATTGTCCCTATTTACTACCTGGAAGAATTGGGAACCTTATTGGAGATTTCATTGTAGAATACTCAGCTTTCCAAATAATTTTTCCAAAAACTAAACATTAACTCAGCATAACTTTGATTACCTGAATGCTGCTTCAACTTTCTGGATGGTTTGTCTGATTCTGCCCTTTCCTGAATATTCTGGATGCTATTAATCTTTAGGAAACAATGATAATAATAATTACTATCCTTTCACAGAATTATGACTATATCCAGAAATTAAAAATAATTTTGATATCAACTCTTGTTTCCTTTGCCTTGGCTTTTTTTTTTTTTTTAAAGACGGAGTCTCAACCTGTTGCCCAGGCTGCTGGAGTACAGTGGCGCAATCTCGGCTCACTGCAACCTCCACCGCCCGGGTTGAAGTGATTCTACTGCCGCCGCCTCCCGAGTAGCTGGGATTACAGGCATGCGCCACCACACCCGGCTAATTTTGTATTTTTAGTAGAGACAGGGTTTCTCCATGTTGGTCAGGCTGGTCTCAAACTCCCAACCTCAGGTGATCCACCTGCCTCGGCCTCCCAAAGTGCTGGGATGACAGGCGTGAGCCACCACACCCGGCCTTGCTTTGGCTTTTAACTTCCTTCATATTATCCATTCCCACTATAACGTATTTATTTCCAACAATTCCTCATCATGTGTCTTCTGTTAGCCTTAGCACCTGAAGTCCCTTTGGGACTCACCACACTTATTTCTGTGTGCTTCAAATTTGTTATGTAATTTTTCTATAATTATGATGAGTAGCATAAAGCTGAAGAAGTCTTCAAGACCATCTAATTTAATTCTATATAGATTTATAGGTATTCAAGACCATCTAATTGAATTCCCTTCATTTATAGATGAGGAAAATAAGGCATAGAATGTAAATTGCATAGGTCATGGTCATATACATTTCTGAGATATGTATTAGTTTTATACCTCAGACTATTAGAAGTTTCTTGAAGTCAGGTATCACATCCCTATATTTGTTAAATCCCTATAACCTAGGAGACAGTGATGACCATATAGGTTGAGATAACTACAATTAATAGCATATTATAGACTATTAACACAGACTTTCAGAAAATTCCTCAGAGCTTCCACTGTTTCCTTCTTATTTACCCTGCTCACAAAATTCTAAGAGATTTGTCTTAATATTTCTATCATACTTATGCTGAAGGAATTTTAAGATAAATAACACAATTAGAATTTTATTGAGTTTCTTTCTGTTCTGTGCCTTGCACAACTTAGGTACCAGTGGTGCAGGTATAAACAAAGTAGACTAAAAATTCCTGACCTTGGGGAATTCTAGTGCAGTATCTAGTATCAGCAAACTTTTTCTGTAACAGGTAGAGAATAAATATTTTATGCTCTGTAGTAAGAAAGGACTTAATCACACTACTCAGTTGTGCAGTTGTTGCAGGAAAGCAGTCATAGACACTATGTAAACAAAGGTGTGTGGCTGGGTTCCAATAATACTTTATTTACAAAAAACAGATGGCCAGCCCACAGGCTATAGTTGGCTGACTTTTATTCTAGTGGTTTAGTAGCACTTTTTGGATTATGAAACATTTTTATGTACATATATAATACAATAACCATGTGTGTTAGACATATGATTTATCTACATTTTGTAGGTGATACACTAAACCTGAGAGAGACAAATCTCTATCCCAGATCTGCTCACCAATGTCACTTAACCACAGTTACGTAGTTCAGGAATGATTTAGAGAAGAAATGAGCTCACATACAATGAGAAAGTGACAGGATAAAACCAGCAGATAATCCCAGGAATTTAGTTAGCATCTTATAGCTCAGATCTGGCAGAAATATAATACCAAAAATATCCAGGAAGGTTTTAGGAGGTAATCAGTCCTTTTTGTTAGGCTCAAATTTGTCTTTTAGGTATCGCCTTTAGGAGCTTTAAAATTCAATCTATGTTTGTACAGAAATTCTTTTGTACTTTTACTAGACATCACCCCTATCACTTCAGTTAAGAGATCTTCCAGTTCTAGTTGGGCCACTCTGAGCACCTGCCTACAACTTTACAAGCTTTAAAATTTCCTATGGGTCTCTAAAATTTGTTACTTTAAAGCCGTTATGCATTTTTCCTATAAACATGTAACCAAAAGGAGCTTTTCATTTAAATATTCAGATCCTGGTATGATAGATGAAGCACTGGAATGAATGTTAAGTGAATATTAGGATATATTTGTTAAGAAAGCCTTCTGAATTTAACCTCAACTAATTTTTAATTTTCAGCTCTTTTTAATATAAAAATTGTTTTATTAATTTTAAGGGATTACATGGATCGTCTTCTAGACGAAAGTGAAAGTGCTGCATCTAGTCGAGCACCATCCCCTCCCCCAACTGCATCAAACAGTAGTAACAGCCAGTCTGAGAAAGAAGATGGCACTGTAAGCACTGCTAATCAAAATGGTAAGCAACCAGAGAAACATTTCTCTTTCTTCATAATAAGGGACACTTTCTTGCAGTGACTTGGGAAATTCCGTTTGGGTTTCTATTAAACTTCCAGAGCAGAAAGTAAAAAATGATAACACATGAGACAAACATAACATCAGCATACATATATACTAACAGAATACAAAGTGATTGGACATCACTAAAAAGTAATTTTAATAAAGCCTACTGTCAACAGTGACTATTTCTTGTAAGAAATTTGTTCTTTTTCAGTAGCATCTCTTTTCCTGTCTTGTCTAGTTGGGTTGATGCCTAGATACAAGTATTTATGTTAACTCTTAGGTCAAAACCCTGCAGTTTCACATGAGATATACAGATCATTGCAAAATACCTTGATGTAAGGTAACAAGTGCACTGTTTTGAATATTTAAGTTCTCTTTGATAGCATAATAACCTTGAATAATGAGAAAAGATAAAGCCGGTATCAACCTGTATATTAATATTCTACAGAAATATTTGTTTTTCTCTCCAAGAAAAAGAGAAGAAAAAGGCATACCAATTGTTTGAGGTTCAGATAGTGTTTCCGTTTAAAATATACAGTGGACCAGAGATCACTGTGCTGATCAGTAGTAAGAGCCAGAGAATTATTTTGATTTCTTCTTTGATTAAATGGTCTTTTTAAGTAAAAGAGTTCCAAGAAGAAAGTAATAAGCGCCACCCCCAGCTCCTCTGAGGAAACTGGTGATAGGAGAGTACCAGTGAAGAGCTGACTTCTTCCTGACAGAAACTGGAAGAGAAACACTGTGAAAGCCTTGATCCTCTTCTGACCTTTGGTCTCACATTGGTCCTGCTGGAGTGTATATGCTTAGTTCATTTCATGACCCCTCTCTGTTCCCTCACTACTTCTAGGAATAAACCAAACAAACAAAACTTAGGGCCCAGTAACTATGTCCTGGTCCAAGAAGGTTTATTGACTTGATGTCTAATGTTTGTCACGTCCATTCTGAAGTAGAATAAGATGCTGAGACTCTGACCTTGGGACTAACCGTATAGGCTCAAGGGAGGCAGACAGTTGGTACTACTATTGTTTTTCCTGTTTGTTCTTAACATATTAACACCAAATCATTTTCTTTTCCTTTTTAAGAAACTATTTGATGAGAACATGCTGTTAGGCTAGGAAAGTGTTCATAAGTTACTTATAAATTACTTGTAGCTCAAAAGCCACTCAACATTACGTACAGTCAAAACTGCCAGCTTTTTCAAAGGAAGGAAGGAACTTTTCATCCCAATGTTATATTACTTTTTTATATGGGGCTTTAATTAGTACTTTGAAATCTTACAGTTATTTTTGACCTAATCACAGTCGTCAGCTAGCTTTTTGGACTTGTTCCTACAGAATTGTTCTCTTCAATATATTATGATGCATAATCCCCATGTGCATTCATGATTTGAGTGCATTGAGTTGGTCAAAATAGAATATTTTCTTCTATCAGAATACAGTATTTGAGGCTCATCCTTTATGCCGAATATTTTTCAAGCAATTAAATTGTAATTATTCAGTGATGCACCCTATATTTTACTTCTTATCACCAAAATTTGCATTCCATTTTACAGTCAACTCTAAAATGAACTTTTGTTTTCTTTTATTAGAATAATTTTGCTTTTACTTTTCTCACCTACTATAGAATTTGTATTTACTTTTTAAGTAATTTGTATTTACTTAAGTAAATAATTTAGCACTTTCAAGTATATGCTTGGATAGTGCGGCATTAGTTTTTTAACATTATGACAGATTATTTAAGTCTACTTAGGTAAATAGTGTGTGATCATCTTTTTTTTCTTTTTGAGACAGAGTCTCGCTTTGTCGCCCAGGCTGGAATGCAGTGGCACAATCTCGGCTCACTGCAACCTCCGCCTCCTGGGTTCAAGTGATTCTGCTGCCTCAGCCTTCCGAGTAGCTGGGAGACGGTGCACGCCACCACTCCTGGCTAATTTTTGTATTTTTAGTAGAGACAAGTTTTCACCCTATTGGCCAGGCTGGTCTTGAACTCCTGACCTCATGATACACCCGCCTTGGCCTCCCAAAGTGCTGGGAATACAGGCGTGAGCCACTGCACCCAGCCTTGTGTGATCTTTTAAAGTACAGTTCCCATAGATTTACATTAAGAATAAAAAAGTCATGACATCTTGCTTTTATATGGCAGTTTACTCAAGCTTTTTAAAGAAAGAGCATTCATCTTGCTTTTACGTGGTTTTAGAATGTTGAAAACCTTTTGTTAAATCTGAGTAATTTACTGCATTTTCCATTAATTCAGCTTAGTTAGACTGCTGGATCCAGTGCTTGTTTGCTGTCACATATACCTAATATGCTTTTAACATATGCCAAATTCTGTTCTTAGTTCTTTACATTTATTAACTTATTTAATTTTCACAACAACCCTGTGAGGAATATCTATTATGATCTTCATTGTATATATGTAATGAAATGGAGATACAGAAAGAGTAAATAATTTGCCTAAGGCGACATAGCTTATAAGTAATAGAGCAAGAATTTAGACTATGTATTTGATACCTTGCTTCCTTGATAACAATAACTACAAGCTGTTTTATAATAGTTTGCAAATTTAACTTTTTTCTAATTGTGGTTTCATTTATATTTCTTTCAACTTAGGAGTGTCATCTAATGGACCAGGTGAAATATTAAACAAAGAGGAAGTAAAAGTTGAAGGGTTACACATTAATGGACCAACAGGTGGAAATAAGAAACCACTTCATGCAGATATGGATACTAATGGTTATGAAACAGATAACCTTACCACTGACCCAAAACTTGCCCATATGACTGCAAGAAATGAAAATGATTTTGATGAAAAAAGTGAGAGACCTGCCAAAAGGCGAAGGGTAAACAGCAATGGAAAAGAAAGTCCAGGTTCTTCTGAATTTTTCCAAGAAGCAGTCTCACATGGGAAATTTGAAGAACTTGAAAACACAGATGACTAAATTTTAGACCTATTTTACTTTCTTTGGAGTAAATTCTGGTGTGACTAAAATTTTCAGGGTTGATGGGTTACCTTAAAAAGTTGATTTCCTTGAAGCAGTTTGAAAATTTGAATTGAGTCTTAACTTTAGGAAATGAGGTTTCATAATTCTGCCTTTTGCAGATTTTTTTACTTTAAAGCTGTCAGACTCTTTTAAGGGTATTTTAAAAATTAGTAAATTTGAATGAACTAAAGATATATCTCTACCTTCTCATTTGAATATCTTTAGTTCATTCAGATTTACTAATTTTGGTAAATCTGAATGAACTAAAGATGTATCTGTACCTTCTCATTTGATGTATTAATCATAAAATTTCACTACAAGGTAATTTTTGCTTAGTTTGATGGATGAATGGGAAACTCAAGTCCAAATTTCTGCTTAATACCAATTTCTCTGAGTTTCTTGAAATGTCTTTAAAACAGACATTTTTCTCACCAAACAGTTTGAGTATCTTTATTAAGGAAACCCTTACGAATCCTGAAAATTATGCTAGCATGATTTTTTTATATATAGAAGTTTAAAAATAAACCAGGTCAGGTTTGTATATGTAAAATTGTTGACATCAATGATGTCTTTCCATATTCTTATCTGGGCTTAAGAAATACATTCTGTATTTTTCCAGATTCTTTGTAGCCTTTGAAAGATTTTTACAGTACATATGTCTTGACTGAGCTGTCCTTTCTTAATACAAAAGCGTGTATAATTTTCTTAACTTGTACAGTTGGTAAACTTTTATGAGAGGAATTGTTATTCTGAGTCTGTCAGCTTTCATTTTATTTTGCTAAGGTTTTTCTAATGAATTTTTAAGTGTTTGTGTAGTAATTAAGTCATATTTCTTATCCAGGTGGTTAAAGCATTCATAAAGGATTATAAAATTTTTTTTTTTTTTTTTTTTTTTAAATTTCTACTTAAGGGCAAGTAATTTGAGAATTCTGAAATTAAGCATGATGCTTAGATTGCAGTTTGTTTTGCATTTGCTATAATTTTCAAAATTATTTTTGAAGCAAGACAAAAGTTTAATGTCAGCTTAAGTGCTTAAATATATCATGCTGACCAGAATCCTGTTATTTTTATATGCATCATAAAATTTCCCATTTCTGCATTAAATAAACAGAGGAGGGGGGTCAAGTGATACTTAGATATTGGCACACACAAGGAACAACTGTTGGCAGGCAGTATCGATTTTATGAAGAGAAAGTGAAGTTTGAAAACTTTTCAAACTTTTCTAGTTACAATCCAATTTTTCAGATTTGATAATGCTTTTCCAAAGTGAAAATAAGATACACAATAATCATTGCTCTGTGTGATTACAGATAGGATTATCCATCTGCATAGCCTTGTAAAAGTGCCATTTTATTTTTAGTGCTAAATTCTTGTTAAATAATGTAGTTTTATATAGCTGATAGACCAACCTATATCCAAACTTTTATAAAATATTAATTATTCTTGTTTTTCTCACACAGGCATACTCCAAATGCTTCTTCCAGTTCATTTTTCAGCCATCAGTTCAAGAGCCAATGCCTTTTTAAAATAAAGCTTCTGTGGTCTTGTTTTTAATGGCTCAACTGTCTGATGTAATTGAGTGAAGGTTTGCACTGAGAAATTAGCATTCAGGCCTTACCCCCATGAAGTATTACTGTTAACATATGTTCGGACTGCTTCCCTTCACCAATGTGAACAACTTTTTTTCCCAAACAGTGTTAAAAGCCACTTTGCAACACTTGACTTCATCTTAATGTACATTCACTGTTGTTACATACATATCTAAGTAAATCAAAGTTTTGGGTGGAAGTGTTGAGAAGTATGAGTTTTTTGTTGTTTTTGTTTTACTTAAAACTTTTAATTTATCCAGAATGGCAGTAGCTTTAGCAAGCAGATGGTCACAATCTGTTTTCTAAATCATTTTTTATTAAATGAATCCAAAGTATCCTAGCTCTTTGTCAAAGATGGTCTGTAGAAATGTTTTTAAAGATTAGGGATGCTGTACTTTTTGAATTGTTGCAGTGTTGGAGATGCCATTTTCACCTTTTTAAAAAGATGCATTTTATTTGCAGGTTTGTGAAGTTCTTGCAAACTCTTACTACAGAAATGTTTTAAATACATTCTCAGGCATGTTTGCAAAAATATGGCACATGTATACATTTTAGGAAATGTTACTTTTGTTAATCTTTAAAAAATACACCTAATGAAAGACATTCCACTATTATGCGTAATGCTCAGCTTTTTGTAAAGAAATATTTAATTGTATTTTGTGTTTATACAGGTATTTCACACAATAATTTGTTCTTAATGCAGCCACTATAACTTGATAAGTCATTGCACTATTTAAAAAGTTTTAGTAATATCATGAATTTAATTTGCTTAAGATTTAGTACATTTCAGAACTTTTGAACTTTTGACAAATTGCATTGGAAAAAGAAGTCTGTTAATAGTGATTTAGTCTCCCCGCCTCATTCCCACCCCCAACAAAGCACTATCATTTTCATTTGGAATGGGTATTTTCTGTTTCATGATGTATTTTCAAATAGAGTTCAGGATCTGCAATTCAGTTCAACACAAGTTTGTTGAGCTTTAAAATGTATTTGAAGTAATATTTAAATAGGCATTTAAAATTTCAAATTAGATGTTAAATTTATGCATAGTAATTTTGCACTGTAAAATAATTCCCTTCTCCCATTCCTTGTCTGCCATTCTGAATATGCTTATTAAAATATTTTTTTAAACATATTTGCCTACATAATACTGTGTGAATATTTTCATTAGATTAATTCACTAAGATTTTATTAGAGATTGTTTGAATGATGCATGTTATTGACAAGGCAAATATATATATATACACAGTCTGTTTCTTCTATTCCTAGACATATTGCACTACTTTTTCAGTGGTTCTTGGTCCCCTTTACCACATCTTGGGTGATGTATTTTTGTCTTCTTCCCCTTTGCCACAAGAGATCCTTTCAGTCCCTAGACCTCCATTCACTCTGTTTCTCTTCTGCTGGATTATATAATTTAAAAATAATGTGTTCCCGTATTTTGTAGTGGAGTTCATATCACATTATGTTTTGCAAAATAAAACTTGTTTTGTCACAATATTTTCTTTGCTATCGATGGATAATTAGGAGTGGGCACTTGGAATAACTGAGGGCTGGTGAATATAATAGGCAATATTTACATGGGGTGTGTAACTAAATACCAAATCAGATAGTAAGGTTTTCCCAACTATAATCCATATTCATGAAAAATGCCAGTGTGGAAAACCATGTAACATACAGAAGAACAGGAGTTTCCAAATTTTAACCTTTTATTCTAAAAATGACTCTCTTCTCTCAAAATGACTTTTTCTGTATCACATAATTCTACTGATACAACTTTTTACCGTAAAAATTAACTCTCTTCTTTAATATCAAGTTCATCCTTTGCAGAATCTTAAAGGGTTTTCCACACATCCATCCACCCACTTACAGACTGATTTCATGTATCTGAATATCTGATTAACCTTTCTTTTCTAATACCAGTTTTCCATAAACTCTTGTCATGTACCCTTAGTATTGTGCTGATCTTTTGCCAACTATACGGACGTGGAGTTTTTCCTTTTCAGAATATGATTATTTTCAATTTGTCTTTAGTTAGTATAAAGAATTATAGAATGTATAATGTAATTAAAATGTCATTTTGCTTGCTCTTGAGTAAGAAGTAATTTGAACACACTTTTAAAGGCTACTTATTCTGTGAAGAATATTGAAGAATTGCCATGTAAACGAGATGAGATGGATTCTAATTGTCCAAATTGATGGTGACAGTTTCACATTTAAATGTCAATGATGACAAGCTTTCATTATGTTTCCATATACTCTAATATCCAGCAAATATTTCGGCCTATACTTGTACCAGGTACTATGCTTGCTTGGCTTGTGGCTTCAGAGATGCGGCATGCCCTGTTCTTCAAGAAGGCAGCAAAGTGTTAATGGTAGAAAAGTAAAGTGTATTCTGAGTACAGAGACAGCAAAAAGAGGAATAGGCACGATCTCAAGAAAATGAGTTTACCTTCCTCTTTGCCATGTAAGTCTAGCTAAATATTTTTCTTTTGTCAAACTTCGTATTTGCTGGAAATTAACCAACATGAAATGCATGATTTTCCCTAAGAAATTTTGTCTTTTAAAAAAAAAATTTCCTGCAGAGCTGGTTCTACCATAACAGCAGCTGTGGATTATTTAGGACTCATCCCTTTTTTCTTGTCATTCACTGTTCCATGAGCACTACTATTTATTAGGTGGAGAATCGCCTGATTTTCTGAAGTTTGGAAGAGAGGACGCCTAATGCAAATTTGGCCTGGTTATAGAACATTCACTTTTTGGTATTCTCATCGTTGTTAACATGAATGGTTGACTGAATGTAGAGCTGGCTGTGTTGTTCTGCACACTGACTGGAATTTGTAGAGTTCAGGTAGTTCTAAAATAAATGGTTTCACTCAGCAAAGTTAGATGATCCCTGAAATTGACTTTGGATTAATATGAGGAATATATAAACTTCTAAAAAATTATTTGAGACGGTCTCAGTTGGCTGCGTAGGCTGGAGTGCAGTGGCAAGATCATGGCTCACTGCAGCCTTGACCTCCTTGGGCGCAGGTAATCCTCCCACCTCAGCCTCCTGAGTGGCTGGGTTTACAGTTGTGCACCACCATGCTCAGCTAATTTTTTTTATTATTTGTAGAGGTGAGGTCTCACTATGTTGCCCCGGCCACTCTGGAAATCCTGGGCTCGAGTGATCCTCCCGCCTCAGCCTCCCAGTGTTGGGATTACAGGCGTGAGCCACCATGTCTGAGCTTAAACATTTTTAAAAAGAAAACATACGGGCCTTAAATTGGGGGTGGTTTCTTCCAGAAACAAGATCAGGTAGAGAACTGCATCAGAATAGATTGATCTGAGCCACTTTAAATTCTTGACCAGAAAATCTAGATTTAGGTTAAGAGCTTGTTCCCAAGAGGGGCTTTTCAAATTCCTTAGTCTACTCTTGTCACCAGCTGTGCTTTAGCTGAGTGAACATGAGAAACTAGTTCTGCTTAGGAGCTAATAGTGGTGCCAGTCATTCTAAGTGTATCCTTTTTTATTATTTTTGAAAGGTACTCCCTTAATCCCCTCTAAGCACATATTTGTACATGACAGAAATTTACTTGGGTGGCTGGTGGTTTTGAGCTTTCAAACATCCTGAATTATAAGCTTTATGAACTGCTCTGCTGTGTGGCCTCCTTTGTTGTCTTATGCATTTGCCTCTAGTGTTTAGTAGACAAATGTTTGCATTTAAAAAACACACCATGAACATACGTGGACTACATCTGCAATTTTTCTTTTTTCCGGAGACAACGTCTTGCTCTGTTGCCCATGCTGGAGTGCAGTGGTATGATCACTGCTCACTGCAGCCTCAACCTCTCTGACTGAAGGGAATCCTCCCACCTCAGCCTCCCAAGTGGCTGGGACAGGTGTGCGCCACCACGCCCTAATTTTTATTTTTTTGTAGACAGGGTTTTGCTGTGTTGCCAGGGCTAGTCTCAAACTCCTGGGTTCAAGCAATCCGCCTGCCCCAGCCTCCCAAAGTGTTGGGATTACAGGTGTGACCACCACACCTGGCCACAAAATTCTTGTAGCTAGTGCTAGTAGGTTAGAATAAAACAACTCACTTAGGATTGCAGCAGATGGGAGTTGTAGTAGAACCTTTGAAAACAATGATACCAGTTTTGGCAAAGGGATCTATTTTCGTGTATATGTATAGTTAGTTAGGAAAAGTAATGAAGGTCATATGCCAAAAGTAACGGTTGTTTTTGAGTGGTGGACTTAGAGTGGCCAGACCCCCTTATTAAAGAAGTCTCATAGCACTTGTCCCAGGTGCCATTTGGTTTTGCATGACTATTTCCCCCTCCGACAGTAAGCCTCCTGAAGGGGAGGGTCGAGTCTGTTTTCCTCACCATCATACACCCACATCCAAGCACAGTGCCTCTTCCCTTACTCACTGAACATATTAGCATATAGGTTATAGCATAGCCTATAATCATTTGTCTCTCCTGCTTAGGGCCTAACTCTGGCTACTCTTTCCAGTGATTGTTCTATTCTGCCTTTGGGGATACATCCTGAGTTGCCCTTTGTACCGCTGCCATTCTTCACTTCCATCTGAGTAGTAGTATAAACGTGTTTTCATCCAGTTACTGCATCACTGGTAGAGGGTACCATTTTACTTGCTTTTTGGGGGAGCTCCGACTCTAGGATTTTTGAAAACTTTTCTTTCTTCAAAGGGTTGCCTGGTTAAATTATGGAAAACAGCATCTCCCATTGCTTGTGTAATCCTATACCTACACATTCTCCCACTCTAAAGCCTGTTGATTTGGGGGAGGCTGGGGAGAAGAGAAGAAACAATTACATAGATGTCAGTGACCACATTGCTAGCCTGAGTCCCAGTTGCCCTCTGGGTTCCACAGAGAGTCACAGTCCCATTTTTGTGGCATGAATACTAGCAGTATCAGAGCCCTTTATTTCCATCCCTAAAGTTTGTCAAAAAGTCAACTCATCACCTATGTGACAAACTTAGGAAGTGTTTCTGAACCACTGTCATTTATATCCATGCTAGTCTTCACAAGGTATATCCTGTAAGTTCGATGGGGAAAGCAGTAGATTCATCTGATGCTTGGAGCCACATTAATGTTTATTAGTCCTTCTAACTATTCCAGAACGAGGAGTGAAAGCCCACAGTACCTGGCCTTGCATTTCCTTATCTCCAACTATATCTCCTATTGTTCCTCCATTTCAACCAAGGGATAGCCTAAAATATTATTTTATTCAGAATCCTCCCAATCAAAATATTTACAGCTTTTTTTTTTATATCATACCACCTTTTTCCATACCCACTCATCCAAATTCAGCCACGTTTCAAGATTTCTCCTCTTCATCTGGCCGTTACTGTATAATCTGTGGTAAGCAAAACCTCTAAACTGGCCATCTGTAAAATAAGGATGATACCAATGTGCCAGTAGGTCTGTTGAGATTATAAATGGGATACCTTAAAGGGAAAATATTTTGTCCCTAGAGAGTGCTGGCTAATGATCAGGTAGGTAATAGTACAGGTCTACAATCCCTTATCCAAAACCCTTGTGACTAGCGGTATTTCAAAACACATCACAGCACATTCTCGAACAAACCTATGGCTGGATATATGGCCACAATAAAATGTATTGACATGAATTTCAGGTCAGATTTTGTAGCCAAATTCGACAAGAAAAAGCTTGGTTTTCAGAGCCCTGTGGATTTCAGAACTGCAAACTTGTAGTGGCTTTCAAATTTTTGCTGGTGCTCACTTGGCAGCTGGTCCCAACTGCCTTTACTTTCTACATAACTGGCAGAGACAAATTAGCAGGTGCACTCTAACCTGTATAGCAGCAACAACAGAACCTTGCACACTCTGAGCCTTCTGCAGAGCAACCGGAAGCCTATAAATGAAGCCGGTGAGTGAGAATAGGCTGCCAAAGCCCAGATGCGGTCCTTCTGGAATCTCTCACTCAATCCTCTTGTCTTACAGAAGGGAAAATCCAAGGCAGAAAATGGAAAAATGACTTGTCCGAGGTTCAACAACTTTAGACTGAGCTGCTTTGACAATGTCGGATGCCTGTATCCTTTTCCTTCATGGCACTGAATGGCTCACACGTATTCATGGCTAGAGCCATGGGCTTAACCCTTGTCCAGTCAATCCCGATGGCCAGAAAAGTAGGATACTATTAGCTACGCTTTACCCAACTTGTCTTTGCGGTTAGGCAGGTAGGTCTTCATCATAAGATGGCAGCACCCTTTGGGTTTATTTGGCTACAACAGTTGGGGAAGATGCATTCCCTCAAAAGGAAAATAGGCTGGTCACAGAGAAAGACTATTAGGCAGATAAAACAAGTCTATTGCAAATATTATCTACCATTGTTAAGTGATTGCTATTAAAAGCACAGCACTAATTATAAAACAATCTTCACAACGTTATTTTCCCCAATTTACAAATAAAACTGAGCTACCTTGAGAAGTTGTAAGACTTGCTCTTTCCAATGATCTGGATTTTACCTATTTTTCTAAGTCAGGTCTTTGTGTTTAGGGAAGATGTGTGTTGTAGAATAGAAAACATGTTGCTTGCAAACAATCTTTCTCCTAGCTTTTTCCCACAACTCTGAACTCTAGAAAAGAGAAATTCCCCCAGCTGGAAAAAAGACGTTAGTAGGCTCTGAGAATGGCAGGAATGTGAGCTTCATTCTCTAGAAAGACATCAGAGGAATAACTACATGGAGTACAAAACAGGTTGGACTCTACGCACTGGAACTTCCAGTAGTAGAAACTATTACCAGGGCAAAGTTTGCAATTTGTTGTACCATCTGCCTTCAAAGGACACCTTAGAGTTGGTCACTAAGGAGTTCAGCAGTGACCATGATGGACTGAAGACAAGAGTCCCTCTTGTATCTTCTGCGCACAGGCAATTCTCCTGGATCTTGTGTAACCTTAGCAAAGAACTGGGACTGAATTTCCCGGTAGGTGGCAAGATGGGGACTCAGATATATTTTGATATAAAATAATATGTACTGTGACATTTCTTTCACCCTCAAACATCATATACTTTACTGCTTGTTCTAGGAAGCTCCATGACCTCAGAGAAAAAGATAGGCTTTACAGAAAGGCAAATTTATATTCTAAGCAAAGACTGTCTCACAAATACCACTGTCCAACAATGAAACTTTCCCATGCTTGTTTCACCTCTAAAACAACACTAGGACTAACTTTAAAGGATTGTTTAGAGGATTAAAATGTGTCAATACACAAGGTGCTAAAAAAAAATGTGTAGCATGTAAAAATGGCTCAATAAATGTATTTTTACTGTGGTATAGCAGGCACTCTGTTTCTTGCTACACTTCAAATATTACCTTTTTGGAAAACTCTTGGAAACATAAGTTAGTCACCTCAAAGACGTTCCTCCTGCTTTTATACTCGGAAAGCATTGAGGTTAGGTGAAAGTACACCATTATGTTTTGTAAGTGAAAATAATTGGATCAAAACTTACTGGCTTACCTAAAATGCAGGACAATCAGCATTCTTGTAGATCAAAATCAGCTTTAAAAACATTTAGGTTTGCAAGCATGCATGCTTAGATGTTCATTAGGTCATGGGATGGCCATGTCCAGCACTGGACTCTCAGCCCTAGCACAGGTGGGCCATGAGCCCTTCGGGAAAGGTTCCGTTCACCTGACGACTCCGGTGAGATGATTAGTTTCACCGTCAGTGTCACATGGCCATCTTAAGTCTACTTTGTCACTATTAGCGCTGCAGCACCCTGAGAACTGCCAGTTTGATCCAGAGAGAAGCTGAACTCATAATTCTGATGGCTGATGAAAACAATAAGATATTAAGAAATCCAGGCCAGGCACAGTGGCTCATGCCTGTAATCCTAGCAGTCTGGGAGGCCGAGGCGGGTGATCACTTGAGGTCAGGAGTTCGAGACCAGCCTGGCCAACATGATGAAACCCTGTCTCTACTAAAAATACAAAAACTAGCCAGACGTGGTGGCACAAGCCTGTAGCCCCAGCTCCTCGGGAGGCTGAGGCAAGAGAATCACTTGAACTCGGGAGGCAGAGGTTGCAGTGAGCCGAGATCGCGCCACTGCACTCCAGCCTGGGCGACAGAGCGAGACTCTGTCTCAAAAAGAAAAAAAAAAGAAAAAAAATCCAAAGTGATAATGGGTGAAGTCTATTCAGCATCCTACAGTGGATTATTAAATTTTTAAATCTTAGTTGAGGAAACAGGTGTTTCAAATAATGTTCTGGAAACTATCAGGAAACCTGTTTTCAATATAGGCCTCAAGTTTTAATTAAGTATTTAAGGTGGTTTCTTGAAAATAATTAAATAAAATGCTTAATTAAAAAAATGTTCCCAAAGTTAAAATGGTCTCCTGAAGACACACATTTAGGCAAAAAAAGAAAAAAAAAAAAAAAGAAGAAACAACTTTAAAAAAAAGAGAAACAGTCTTATCACCTGTTAATTATAATTCCTAAAATAACTCAAATCCCTTTTCTTTTCTATGTAAAAAGAAACAACTGTACTTTAGGACCTCATCATTCTCACTAGCACAACAGCCTGCTCTATCTGATGCATTCACCTCCAGTTCTGCCCTTCCGTGATCCCCACCTGACAGTCATCCACGCAGCAATCCCAGTGATCCTGTCATAGTGCAAATCTCATCTGTAGTAGTTCAACTTAGTCACGCTGGTAGCCAGTGGGCTAAGTCTAGCTGGCAGATTTTTTGTTTTATTTCAATGCCTTTGAGCAGGTATGTACCCCAAGCCCCACCATTCACTCTAGGCATTCACACCTGGCCCCTGTGAGACATCTGAATTTGCCAACCTCTGACCTACAGTATACAATCCAAATACTGCAGCTGGTGTGATCTTTCTAAAACGCAAATGAGGCCATGCTTCTGCCCTGCTACGCTAAAAAAAAAAAAAAAAAAAAAAAAAAAAAAAAAAAAAAAAAAAAAAAAACAGACCAAAACCTCTGTCTTCATAGAGCTTGAAGTGCTATGGGGATGAAATAAGGGAGAGAAGAGAACATGGTGTGGTGAGGGCAGGGGAGCCTATTTCAGATAGGCTGGTCAAGGAAGACCCACAGAGATGAGGGGACGTACTATAACGAAAGATGCACTCCAATCAAGGAGTGGGACAGAGGCCCTAGAAGGTGGGTGGGCTGTCCCCGCCAGTATTTTCTCAGGCAAATCCTAGTTGTTTTTCAGGAATCAGCTCAAATGCCATTTCTCCAAGGAAACCTTTCCTACCATTCCCAGGTGGAATGAAATTCCTCCTCCCATACATTCATATGCATATCTCAGCTATACTTTCATAATTCTGTCATCATTTGTGAACATTGTCCTCAAAAATATTCACCGAAAAAAATTATCTGAAGGATAAATAGGCAGATATGATAAAGCACTCTTGATGAAACCCTCCTATTTCTTTCTCTAACAACGAGGGATGGTATATGAAATATATTCTTCAGAAAGAAAGGGGTTTTGAAATCAAAGTCCAGGTTTACATTTCTCATGTGAGTGAAGTTGGACAAATTCCTTAGCCTGGCTAAAGCCACCATTTATGCACCAGTAAAGTGCTGGAAGGACCAAATATGAGAAGGCACATTTTAGCCCGAACCCAGTGAAAACACATAGTCGGCCCTCAGTAAATACTGCTTTTCCTTCCTCTTAAACTGCTTTCCATCATTTAGCTGCCAAAAGCAGGTGTTGCCACAAGAGGGCACTTTTAGCACAGCTGGAAAAGCATAGCTGCTTTGCCTTCTCAGATTAAACCAGCCACCATCTCATGCTTAAGCTTTAAATCCACAGTGGGTGAACAATGAATGAAAAATAACATTTGACAAGTATAGAGCGGTGATGAGTTTGGTACTGCCAAGTCTATTACAGACAGACTTAAGAGAAACGAGAACCTAGCATGGTGGCGAAGAGCAAGGGTGTTTGAAGTCAGACTGATGGGGGTTTGAATGCGGGTTCCCTGACCACACCGGGCAAGTGTGCCTCTCTGAGCTTCACCTGTAGATGCCAGGCCTCTAGTAGAGGATGGGTGCTGGCCCCAGTGAACTCAGTCTGGCTTGATGGATGGATGAACCAATGTATACATAGGCCCCAAGTGATGAGAACTGTAGGAAAGAAGAATTGAAGTTACCTGGTAAATGCTGACCCACTGTGGGTACACAATGGCACTAGCTCTGTGCTTTCTCCTCTGAGCAGTGCATCATCTATAGCGTTGCCCAATACTGACAGCCTATGCTTCAAGGAAGCCAAGTGAGACAAGAAGCTATCAAAAAGATGAATTCTAACTTCAACAAATTAGAAAAAAATCAGACTCTAAGAGGGTTTTTTAAAGTTGATTAAAACACATGTGTTAAGGACAATCTCTTCAACAAATGGTGTTGGGAAAATGAAATATCCACATGCAAAAGAATGAAGTTGGACCCTTACTTTACAACATATACAGAAATTCACTCAAAATGTATTCAAGATCTAAATTTAAGACGTAAAATTATAAAACTCACATTGGATTTGGCAGCATATCTTGGATATGCCACCAAAAGCACAGGCAACAAGAGTAGAAGTAAATAACTGGACTACATACAAATTTAGAACTTTGCTGTGCATCAAAGTCAATGGATATAATCAAAGGAGTGAAAAGGTAACCTGTGGAATGACAGAAAGTATTTGCAAATAACATATCTGATAAAGGGGCTGGGCACAGCACCTTACACCTGGAATCTTAGCATTTTGGGAGACCCAGGCAGGCAGATTGCTTGAGCCCAGGAGTTTGAGACCAGCCTGGACAGCAATAGCAAAACCCCGTCTCTACAAAAAAATTAGCTGGGTGTGGTGGTATGCACCTCTACTCCGCTACTCAGGAGGCTAGGGTAGGAGAATTTCTTGAGCCCAGGAAATTGAGGCTGCAGTGAGCTGTGATCATGCCACTGCACTCCAGCCTGGGTGACAGAGTGAGACCCTGTGTTAAAAAAAAAAAAAAAAAATATATATATATATATATAACCCCTTTAGATATAGATATATCTGTGTGTGTATATATATACACACACAGATATAGAGATGTATAAAGATGTATCTGTATATATATGCAGATACCCTATATCTAAAGGGGTTAAATATGTATTTACAACATATACAGAAATCAAAAATATATTCAAGATCTAAAGACATAAAATTACAAAATTCTTAGAAAACAGGAGGAAAGCTGTTAAATATATATATATCCTTAAATATATATATTAATTTAATAATATAAATATTGTTATTTATATATTATATGTTACTGTTAAAAAAATATATATATATCTCCTTAGACATATATATCTAAGGGGGTTAAAATCCAGAATATAAAGAATTCTTACAACTAAACATCACCTCAAGCATATGAAAAGATGCTCAACATCACTAATCATTAGGAAAATACAAATCAAAACCAGAACAAGATTATCATATCACATCCATTAGGACGGCTACAATCTGAAAAACAGAAAATAACAAGTGTTGGTGAGGATGTGGAGAAACTGGAACCCTTGTGCACTCTTGGTGGGATTCTAAAATGGGCCAGCCATAATGGAAAAGTCTAGTGGTTTCTCAAAAAAATTAGAATTACCATATGATACAGCAATTTCACTTCTGAGTATATACCCAAAAGAAAAGTAAGTGGGATCTTGGCTGGGCACAGTGGCTCATGCCTGTAATTCCAACACTTTGGGAGTCGGAGGCAGGTGGATCACCTGAGGTCAGGAGTTCGAGACCAGCCTGACCAACATGATGAAAACCCGTCTCTACTAAAAATATAAAAATTAGATGGGCGTGGTGGTGCATGCCTGTAATCCCAGTCACTCCAGAGGCTAAGGCAGGAGAATCGCTTGAACCCGGGAAGTAGATAGAGGTTGCAGTGAGCCAAGATGGTGCCACTGCACTCCAGCCTGGGCAACAAGAGTGAAACTCCGTCTAAAAAAACACACACAAAAAAGTGGGATCTTGAAAAGTATTTGTACACCCATGTTCATAGCAGGATTATTCACAATAGCCAAGAGGTAGAAGCAACCCAAGTACCCATCAACCAAAGGCTGGATAAACAAAATGGTACACATACAATGGAATATTATTCAGACTTAAGAAGGAAGGAAATTCTGACATATGTTACACAACATGGAATAACATCAAGGGCGTTATGCTATGTGAAATAAGCCAGCCACAAAAAGACAAATATGGTACGATTCCACTTATATAAAATACCTAGTGTAGTCAAATTCATAGAAACATAAAGAATGGTGGTTATCGATGACTGAGGTGAGGGGAAAATGGTGAGTTTCTGTTTAATGGGTATGGAGTTTTAATTTTGCAAGGAAATGTTCTGGAGATTGGTTGAACAACAATGTGAATATATGTAACACTACTAAACTGTATGCTTAAAAATGTCTAAGATGGTATATTTTATGTGTATTTTACCACAATCTTTTTCTTTAAAAAAGGTTTAATATGCTTCTCCCTCTGACACACCTTAATGTGCTTCCACCTCTGCTGAGTCTGCTTGTACCAAAATGCCTCTACTTGATGAGTAAAGCTACTCAGGAGCTTGGAAACCTGATAATGCAGTTGAAATACCCTGAAAACAGAAAGATTAGCACTTCCTTCCTTCTAATTTACCACAAGTATGCCACAAGACACTGGATATTCAGTCATACATACTATTCATAAAAGCATTTGTATATAAAACAGTATTTTCTACATATGGAGTCTCAATCACCTAACAGGATGCCAACCTCTAAAATATGGGCAGACTTCTGGCTCTGGATTAGTCTCTGTATGCAGTTACAAAGGAATTTTAATACTTGTTTTCAGGAAAAAGTATTTATTTTACACCATTACAAAAATATTTAGGCACATAATTTTCATGTTTATGTCACCTGATTTACATACCTCAATTCCTCAGTACCTTTTAACACTAAAAATGGTCATTTGGTAAATAGACTCTAAAATGAAAAAATACTGTGAGAAGCTAACACCTGTAGACAAAAATCAGTTGATCATCAGCATGAGAAAGAAAACATTTGTGAAAAAAATAATCTCTAAAAACATTTTTGTGAGACAATAAATCTAACCAGTAGATTTCTTTTTAAAAAGTATTTTTAAAGAACAAAGCTTTAAAAAAAAAAAAACTACAACACTGTAAACTATATCCTCATGCCATGAAGCAGCATCCTGAAAGTAAGACCTAGAAGACTGGCTTAGAAAACAGTAATGGTGCCAGGGACTCACAATATATGACAACTGAGACAGGCCTGGAAGCAGGGGCAGCATGGGGTCAAGTGCTTTCAATTCAGAGAGGGGAAAAGGAACGCTGGCCTTTCCAGGAGCCATCTAAAGGTAAAAACTGAGAAAGATTTAACTGAATTGACATTCTAAAATGTAACTATGTTTCTTTAAGATAGAAAATAATTTTCCTGGCCGGACATGTGGCACACACCTGTAATCCCAGCACTTTGGGAGGCTGAGACAGAAGGGTTACTTGAGGCCAGGAGTTTGAGACCAGTCTGGCAACAGAGTGAGACCCTGTCTTTACCAGAAAAAAAAAAAAAAAGGAAGAAACGAGCCAGGCGTAATGGCACATGCCTATAGTCGTAGCTACTTAGCAGGCTAAGGCAGGAGGATCACTTGAGCCTAGGAGTTTGAGACTGTGGTGAGCTGCTATGATTACGCCATTACACTCCAGCCTGGCTGGCGACAGAGCAAGACCTTCTTTCTTTTTTTTTTTTTTTTTTAAAAAAAAGGAGGGGGAGTAGGGGGAAGAAAATAATTTTCCTTTATTAAAATGTACTGTCACAATATAAAAGAAATTTTGTTCTTTTTAAAAAATAGGTAGAATCACCTGCATCATGTAATGGCCGTAATTGTGTCCAGCAGATATTTTTAAAAAAGAAAAGACAGTGAACAGAAACTGCTACCTAAGGATTCTAGAGGCAATGAGACACAGAGTCCTGTTTTTCAGGACAGACCGTATTGCCCAAGCCTCTAGCATTTACGGAGCATAAATTAAGAATCTTGTTTTGCCTTGAGTCTCACCATGAAATAATGACACGGTAGCCACATTTGCTGAGGGCCTAATATGTACCAGGCATTGTGCTAAGTAGTTTCATATCCATGTCTCATTTATTCCGAACTTTTTTCCTCAGGGAGAGAAAAATCAATTACAGTCTTGTTCATAGGAAAAACCAAACTTACAATTTTGGGAAAGCAAGAACATGTACAGTAGAGGAGGAGGCCTCAAGCTACTTACAGAATTCTAAGAGCTGTGTTGCTATCTCAGAGCTAGAAGATTAACTAATATGAGTTACAAAAGTCCTCTCGGATTAAAAAAATGCTTTAGCTCTGTGGGGCGTCCCTAAAATCAGTGATACTCATAACCATGCAGGCAGCTCTTGGTTACAAAATCACGGACTCCTTTCATCTGTCTCCTTTCTCCCACTCAGGGTCCAGGTTTCCATATCTGGCTAAAGAATTACACACTCCTTGAAAGCAAGAACCATGTCTTGTTTATCTTTTTTCCAGAGCTTAGCAAAATACTTGGCATACAAGAGCTGCTCACTAAGTCTTTGCTCACTGAACGAGGCTATCAAGTAAGGCAGGCCCAAAGTCCTGGGGTGCCATTTCAAACCAACTCAATGTGAAACTCCACTGTTTCTCCGTGAGGATCCTGCACCAGCTGTACTGACCAAAACCCTCCATGGATTCTTGATAAAACAGGACTACCAAAAGCGTGTAAATGCACTTTTTAAAAAAAAAAACTAGGTGCAAACTGGAGCCTACAAATGATTGACTCATAAAGTCCACAGCCACATGAGGCAATTAAAACTCAACGGGACATGCTGGCAATGTGTAGCCTGGCCAACTAGGGTTATTCCAATCCATTTAGCCTTGACTAGAAGCAGATTGGCCAAAGAGGGTCTCACTTACATTGAACAGGAGACACTAGTCATAGAATTTGTCTTTTGGAATACCACAGCTCATCTGTCTCAGTGGGCAAATTAAGGATTTAACTCTGTATTGCCTCTTTTTCTCCCAGGAGGCAGTTAACAGGACAAAGAATTTCTGCCTAGTAAATATCAAACATGGGGCAAAAACCAGACTTTCTGGGAGGTGCCACAGTACCAGGTAAATCACCAGTATATTGTAACACGCCTGCAATAATCAAAACGCAAACTCCAAAAGACTATTCAGTCTCCAGCTTGTTCACCCTGCTCCATCTTGCAATGCTGGTTAGTGGCTGAAGGATGCATCCAGGAAGCAGAACACAGACAGGGCAAAGTTGCTGTACTGCTCTGGTCAGCCAGAAGTTTCAGCATAAGCCAGGGCTCCCAAGGCACAGAAGCCTGTCACGTGCATTTAGTGAAGCTGTAACTACACAATGTTCTCAAATACTCCTGAAGAGGTGACAGATCTCCTAGGGAACCTGACCCCCAAGAGGCAGTTCAACTCCTGGTGGGGCTCTAGCCCAACACCTGTTAAAGACACCCAAAAGCCTTTCATGAAGAAATATTCTACAACAAAAATTATTCAAACGTCCCTCCTTCATGTTGCTGACAGAAAGAACAGAATCACTAAAAATAGCTCTCACTATGCCCTTTCACTGTACCTAAGCAAAACCAGGAAGTGTTGGCAACATTTACAGCCAGAAGTGCATTATCAACTAAAGTCAGCCTGGAAGTGGGATAAGGGTTCCAGGACAGGGTAAGCTGTCACTCTTCCTGATTTGCAAAGTATGCTCCTCTCTGACACCAAATTCAATCAACTGCTTGCTTTTTTGAAAGTGCTCAAGTGAACTCAGGATCTGTTTCCTTACTCCCTCAGAGGGGAAGGGCGGTTAATTAAATGGCAGCATAGTTCAATAAAAAGGACATGGGTTTGATGTATTAGCAAGTCATCTTTCTCTGAGTTTTGTTTTCTCATTGGTAAAATAGGGAGAGTAAGACCCATATGACACAAGATACTATCCTTTACTCCCAGTGGAATTTTCTCAGGTCAGAAGATGCTAGAAAAAAGTGAGTCTAAGGCTCTTAATGAAGCTTGTAACTTGGGAGTTGGTTGCAGGGATAATTCTAGGGACACAGCACCACCAGCCAAGCTTTAGTAAAGACAAACCAAAAGACAGGAATATGAAAATGATCTCAATATAAATTTGCATATCAAAAAAAATCAAAACCCTAACTGTTTAGGTCAACAGAGTCCAGTGGATTCCAAACCCAATGAAATAGACACTGGTGTGTGCATTAGTGCAAAGGTACCAAATCTCTTGCACACTGGCTGTACAACTGGCCTGAGCAAACACACTAATCCTCAAAGTCAATGGATATCTCTGAGTCAAGTCATAGGGTTATGTTTGAGTTAACACCTCCACCCTCCAGATTACCCCAAGAGGCAATTTAGGCAGTGCCCATTCACAGCTGCTCTCCCAAAATGCAGCATTGGTTTTGAGAGAAGTTGGCAAGCTCAGTAGGTGAGCCAAGGGGCACATGATGTAGGTGAGAATGTTGAAAGGAGGGAAGTTTGCTCATTGCTCATGCCATTTAAGAAGGAAGATGATAGCTCTAACACTGACACTGCCAGAGAAAAACCAACCATTGACAATACAAAGACGTCTAACCAGCCTTTCCCCTCAAACCAATAAATTCAGAAATGTGGGACCTCATCATATTCATCCAAAGAGCAACCAAACCCAAAGGAAGGTGGCAAGGGAAAACAGACTTGCCTGTCTGCAATTTTCACTTAGAGAGGGAGTCAATGCTGAGCTGCACTGGTTTACAAAACACAGCTCTTTACTTGTACCTCATCTCACATTGCAGCATTTGGATTCACACTATTGCCGGGTAGGTAGGGCAGGTGTTCTTAATCCAATTTACAGATTTGCGGCTTTTGAGTGCTGAAACAACTTACTCTTAGTGACATCTTCTGAATAGATTAACAGAGCTAAATTCTCAACCTTACCTGAGTCACTATGGCAGGAGTGAGATGTTTCAACTACCTCTGCAAACATCTCTGTATCCCCAGCATTTAGCACAATGCCTGGCACATATACTTAAAACATTTTAGTTGAATCAATAAGTCAAATAGATGAAAAATTAGTAAAAGGCCTACTTTCTCACCCCCTTCATTATCCCCATTCTACACAACAAAAAAAGAACATGTTTTCAAGGAATGCACTCTGCTCATCCTATGAAAGTCAGGGAAGCCAACATAGATAGCAATACACTTCAAAGCCCCACATATTTTTATAGTGCCAAAGTTGTTTTCCTTGGCAAATGGAATGATGATATGATGAAGACAATGCAATCATAAGAAATAAGATTCAAAGAAGAGAAATTTCACATATTCGTCTGCATTTCCAGCAGAGGAAAGGCTAAACTGCCTCCAGATGCAGCAACAATTTGAATGATGAAGCTCCAGTTGGCAAACATTACATATGCAGCTCTCAGGGACACCTGGATATCAAATTATGAAATAAAATACTTTCAAAACACTGATGTTTCACTGTCGGCATATAAGAAAAATAAATTAAAAAGCCCAGTACCTTTTCCAGTCTGATATAAATTAATTCAAACAACATATTTAAAATAGAGTCAATTATAAGTTTCTCTCTTCATAAAATTTTAAAAGGCAGCAATCAATCCTCAGATTGTACAAGTGCAAAGGAATGGTTATTTCCTCCATAATCAAGACACCTCAGTGTCTCTGTAGGAACTGCCAGTGTTCTGAGTTGATTAAAAACTTAGGCCTACGTATCAGATGAAGCAATCCTCTGGTCACACTGCTCCTTTCCCCTTAATGTCCAGCTTGTTATTAGCCTCTGACTGTTTGCTCAGCTGCTCTTCAGTGAAAGTGATATAGGAATATACCAGGCTCCCAGCAATGCTGCAAAACAGAAAGCCACTATCAGAGATGGAGGAAGGGAGGGTTTTAGTGTAAACACTCTACTCAGTAAAAAAACTTACACCAAAAAATTAGATGAAGAGTAAAGTTTCACAGTGGGGAAATTCATACAATGAAGTACTATGCATCCATTAAAATGGTATAAAATATAAACAGGCATTGACACATTAAATTTTGTAAGACAGCTTAAATTTTTATGAGAAAATATATCATAAAACATCAAGCATTGTCTAATCCCATTTTATTTAAATGAACATGAGTATGTATATCAATATGCACTGGAATAGACAAAAGTCTGTAAGGAACACACCAAGAATATTAACAGTGGTTACAGCTGGATGCTGACATTACAGGTAAATTTTTACTTGTATTTTTTTGCATTTCGAAAAATAGGCATTAATAGGAAACATCCCAAATTAGTTAAATATGCAGACCCTAGGAGATTCACAGAGCTGATTTTTCTCTGACTAAAAGCAAGTTCACAGTGGGGAACTTATCATCTGGGCCGTCAGCCTATGACAGGTGGTTGCTGGTACCCCTCACTTATCCATCGCACCTACCACCAGGAAGGATCCCTCTTTGGTGACAATGATTACTTGGTCCATTCTCTGTGGGGACCTCAAACTCACCTAGGATACGCAGCCTCCTACCCGATTCACTAAGTGGAAAGTAGTCTGGAGGAGCTCACAGATCCGACCACTCCTGCCCTGTCCTCCCTGGCTCTTCCACTGAGACTGCCACCCAGGACTCCCTTGGATTCCAGCCAGCTGGATGCCTGACCTGGGCGCCAATTCTTCTGCCCTGGTTTTGGCCCTCATCTTCTGCCTAACCACTTGACTCATGAACTTGCTGCTTATTTGAAATTAGTTCTGTTCTCTGGGCTCTGACATCAGCCCCAGACCAGCTGCAGAAGGGTGAGAGACGCCTAGCTCTTGTTCCCACTAGGAAGAAAGCAGGATCAGGCACTGGCGCTTGTTCTTTACTGCACACGCTCGCATAATACTAGCCATTCTCTGAGACTCCAATCAACCCAAAATAAAGCCTTTTCCAATTTAACCTTCCCAACCAGATTCTTCCTTTTCCTCATCTGCACCTCACGGCACTTAAGAGCAATCAAATTATTAAAGTCTACTTGTCAAGCATTTTACATACATTTCCTGTTTTTGCAATATTCCTGCAAGGTACAATATCCCTCCAAGGTGTCCATTTTATAGATGAGGAAAGTCCCAGAGTCATAAGATAAATTGCTCAGGGTCACAAAGCATCCTACTGATGGGCCAGAATACAACCTAGGTCAGTCTTTCTCCACTCCAACTGCTGCCTCCCTTATGACCCTTGTGCCACTGAATACTAGTTATCCATCCTCACTCTGTCCTTATCATCTTGTTAATTTCCCACGGCCTTAATTCTTTTAGCTGTACAGAGTCTCTTGCAATTGGCCTGACACTTTTTAGCAACACAATAAGTAACTGCTGAACTGAGTATCCCCTATCACCCCACTTGAGGAAAGGGGGCCTCATGAACCCAATTCTTACACTTTTTATTGTCTTTCCCCCCCTTTCTGTGGAAAATGGGGTCTCGCTATATTGCCCAGGCAGGTCGTGAACTCCTGGGCTCAAGCTATCCTCCCGCCTCTACCTCCCTAAGAGCTAGGATTACAGGTGTGAGCCACCGCGCCTAGCATGAACCCAATTCTTATGCCAATGTTCATAGAGCTTCATCTTTTCCTTCATCCAGCAGCTTTTTCCCATTTAATTTTTTCTGGAATTTGATATGACTCTCCTAGAAACTTTTCTGGTTTTTCTAGTCCCTCAAGTAGACTACTTCCCTGGTAGCTGGCCTGGACCCAAGAAGATGGCTTACTGAAGTCTTTTTTGACTGAAGCTAAAAGTTCTTTAAGGTTCACATGTACGTCCACCCACATGACAGTCAATTTCCCTTTGCCTCCAAACCCACCCCAAAACAAAGTAGAAGGGCTACCTCTCCTTTCTTTCATCCTACCTTCCTCTAGCTTCGCCTTCCCACAACAGCCTAAAAAATAAAAATGCTTTCTTATTTTTCCTGTTAAGATGATCTTTGATGTTCACATTAATCCTATTTAAACTGGATAGGAATACTGGGGAAGCACAGGATAGAAGAAGACAAAGAATGTCCTGTAATTTATTCCAGGCTTAGCCCTAATGATAATTCCAGACCCTATATTCCCAGCATAGTCAGTGTATTGGAAAAAACACTGACTCTACGGTTAGGTCTTGGTTCAAATCCTGAATGTACTCTAGGTTGAGTATCTCTTATCTAAAATGCTTGGGACCAGAAGGGTTTCCAATTTCAAATTTTGGAATATCTGCATTATACTCACCAGTCAAGCATCCAAATCTCAAATCTGAAATGTTCCAAAGAACATTTCCTTTGATCATCCTGTTATCATTCAAAAATTCCAGATTTTGGAGCATTTTGGATCACAGATGTTCAATCTACACTAGCTATGTGACCCTGGGCAAATTAATTAATCCATTTCTGTATTCATCAAATAAGAATAATGTTATCTATCTAAGCTTGTCTGAGGATTAAATGAGATTACACGGATAATCTTCTCTTCATTCTCTTCTCCCCTACCTTCCCTGTCAGCCCTGACACTCAGAACCAGAGGGGAGATGTACTGCTGACAAAAGGTAAGGTACTATAATTATAAACGTCTTACTCCATTTGGGTTGCTATAACAAAATACCATAAATGGTGGCTTATAAACAACAGAAATTTATTTCTCACAGTCCTAGAGGCTGGGGAGTCTAAGATCAAGGCAGGTTCAATGTCTAGAGAGGGCTCTCTGGTTCACAGACAGTATCTTCTCATCATGCTCTGGGATCTCTTACATAAGGGCACTAATCTCATTCATGAGGATGCCAATTCCATGACCTAATCACCTCCCAAAGCCCTACCTCCTAATACCATGACTTTGGGAGTTGAGAGTTCAACAAACTGGGGGAACACAAACATTCAGACCATAGAGCAAGGAATGTAACATTATGAAAGAGGGGGCACACTATTGCCACATGGTTGTAACTTGAGGCAACAATAAAATATATTTAATTTCATCTTTATTACTGACTCGATCATTATCAAATATAGATTTTCGGAAAGGGCAATTCATGAACCACCTGAAGAGAACTGAATATTCATCAACGAGCATACTATGTGTTACGCAGTGATGAGTAAACGCTTTGGAAAGGAACTATAATTTGCTCTCTAGCAGCTTTGGGGAAGGGGAAAACTAGAAGGAAGGGAAAGGGAAAATGAGGAAAAGCCCAGATTTGAAGGGGAGAGGGGTTATATCTGACTTTTTATACAACACTACCAAATGATTCTAAATCAGGATCTTCTACTACTTCAAACAGAGACCCTTTAACTAATCTATTGGCCCCATAAATATTCACATTAAAGTTGATACCTTCTAGTACTATGAAATTGGTGTTAATACATTAGATCATCCTAAATATTCATTTTTTAAAAGTAGAACTCCTGGTATTAGTACTGGTCAACAAGATTTTCTTTTAAAAAGTTAAAACATGCATATTGAAAATAAGGTACAGTCATTATGCAAGCCTAAGTTTATGCCTTTTAAAAAATTTTCAAGCAATTTTCCATCTGTCTAATCTTCAAACAACAGCACTACCAACTGTTTTATTTTGTTGGGACGGAGTCTCACTCTGTTGCCAGGCTGGAGTGCAGCGGCGCAATCTCGGATCACTGCAACCTCCGCCTCCTGGGTTCAAGCGATTCTCCTGCCTCAGCCTCCCGAGCAGCTGGGACTACAGGTGCCTGCCACCACATCCAGCTAATTTTTGTATTTTTAGTAGAGACGGGGTATCACCATGTTGGCCAGGGTGGTCTTGATCTCTTGACCTTGTGATCTGCCCGCCTCAGCCTCCCAAAGTGGCACTACCAACTCTTAACTCACAGAGACCTCTGTGGCAGATACAGCTGGGAGACACCAGAAAAAAAAGACAAAGTTACAGTTCCTGAGACAGGGGCCTTGTTAGAATACTGCAAATCTGAATGGAACGTGCCGAACTGCTTCCAAATCTATTGAATCTACTAAATCTACTTTATCTGCTCTGATCCACTTTTGATCTTCAAAAGCAAGGCAAACACAGTCTACTTCTCCTAAACCTACAGTCATGGACATATTCATTAGCCCCCGACAATGAGATACCCATTCCAAAAATATACACTAAAAATGCTTTCAATATAGCAACCCTGTGGCCAGGGAACAACAGTCCTAATGTCCACCACCACGCCCAGGTAATTTTGTCATTTTTTTTGTAGAGACGGGGTTTCACAACATTGCCCAGACTAGTCTCAAACTCCTGGGCTCAAGCAATCTGTCCACCTCAGCCTCCCAAAGTGTTGGGATTATAGGTATAAGCCATTATGCCCAACCTCTCCCTGCTTCTTAAAAAGCATTATGTAGAGACATTAAATATGTAGCACATAGAAGGCACTCCACATATGTTTAATAATGAATAAATGTTCCATTAATTTAATAGCCTAACCTTATTGTGACACTATTTGAATATCCAATTCCGATTTTGCAATTTAATTAAATATTTTTACTTACCTGATATTTAAACCAATGAAGTTTGTCCACGTGAAAATATAATCTCCACCAAAGACCATTCCAATATAAGTTATTAATATATTCTAAAAATAAAAATAGTAATATACTGTTATATAGGTTTAACTGAGCTTCTTAAATATATATAAAACTCATCCAAATATCTGTCCTTAAAATACAAAAACAAATAAACAAAAGACAAACAATGAAAACGCACCAACCCTAATAATAGTATAAGGAAGAACACTATTAAGGAATCAGTGACATTAGCCTCTTCCCAATCGATTTCTCCAGAAGATAAATGCTTTTGCCAATACTGAAGAATACTACCAACAGAATGGGAGAAAATATTCACAAACTATGCATTGGACAAAGGTCTAATATCCAGAATTGATAAGCAACCTAATTCAACAAACACAACCCCATTAGAAAATGGGAAAAGGACATGAACAGATATTTCTCAAAAGAAAACATACATGCAGCAAACAAATATAGGAAAAAAGGCTCATCACCAATCATCAGAGAAATACAAATCAAAACCACAATGTGATACCATCTCATACCAGTCAGAATGTCTATTATTAAAATGTCAAAAAGCAACAGATGTTGGCGAGGTTGAGAAAAAGGAATGCTTATTTATACACTGTTGGGGGGAATGTAAATTTAGTTCAGCCACTGTGGAAAGCAGTGTGGACATTTATCAAAGAACTTAAAACAGAACTACCATTTGACCCAGCAATCCCACTACTGGGTTATATCCCCAAAGGAAAATAAATTGTTCTACCAAAGAGACCCATGTATTCTTATGTTCACTGCAGCATGATTCCCAATAGCAAAGACATGCAATCAACCAAGATGCCCATTAACGATGGACTGGATTAAGAAAATGTGGTACATATACATCATGGAATACAATGCAGCCATAAAAAAGAAAGAAATCATGTCCTTTGCAGCAACACGGATGCAGCAGGAGGCCATTATCCTAAGCAAACTAACACAGGAACAGAAAACCAAACACCACCTGCTCTCACTTGAAAGTGGGAGCTAAACACCGAATATACATGGATACAAAGATGGGAGCAATAGACACTGAGGGCTGCTTGAGGTGGGAGGGTAAAAGGGGGATGTGAGTTGGAAGACTACCTGTTGAGTACTATGCTCACTACCTAGGTGACAGGATCGTTTGTACACCAGGCCTCAGTGACACACAATTTACCCACGTAACAAACCTGCACATGCACCCCCAGAACCTAAAATATCTTTGCATCTTCTTCTAAAATGGAAAAAAGGGAATGGTGGGGACTTTACCAATACAATGACTGTTTTTAGAGGAATCTTCCTTGGTCTCTTAAGAAAACACATGGGAAGTCATCTCAAGATATTATACCTAAAATCACTTCTGACACTCCCAGGTGCAAACATCTTCTGGCTCCCTTTTAATTATCCTAAGACCATAAAAACAAAAAATAAGTTTCTAAAATTTAAACTAGAGGCTGAATATCCTTTATCAGGTCCCAAATACTTGGGACCTGAAATATTTCAGATTTTGTAATATTTCCATTACACTTACCAGTTGAATATCTCAAATTAAAAAATCCAAATGCCTCAATGATTATTTCCCTTGAATATCATGTTGGCATTCAAAGAGTTTTAGATTTTGGAGCAAGCATTTTGGATTTCAGATTTGGGGTTGCAGGAAATCAAAAAATTTTACCCCCAAATATATTTCTTTAACATACAGTAATTAAGATAGCTGTCAGAAAGCCAGCAAAAAGAAGTAGCTCTGCAAAGCTGTCTTTTGTGAGGGAAATTTACATTTGTAGAAAAATCTACACTGACTGTAGCCAGGCCTCCCCTTGTCCAGATCTAGGAAACACTAACTGAGAGTCTAACACCTTTCAAGGTCTAAAAAAGCATTTATCATCTATTCTCTCCAAGGGCTGCTACCTGTGAGGTTTCATCTGTATAACAAGACCACTTTAGCTAGCCAAGCCTCCTCTTCTCTCCCTCCCATAACCTATTTTGCCCAATCTAAGCCCCCATTTTTTCTGTAACTTCAAGATAGTATATAAGCTTCTACACTCCACTGGGGGTTTAGGTAGTCACTCTGCAATATTCTCCATATACACATCAATAAATTAGATACCTTTTCTTTTACTAGTCTGTCTTTTGTGAGCTGATTTTTAAGCAAATTTTCCCTTCATCCCTACAGTTTTGATGCAGTAAGCAGGGTCACCAAAGCTGTTCTGCTCTTTTGGAAGCTGCAGCAAAGATAATCCAGGACCTCACCAGCCAGCATAAGGATAAAAATTTCTTACCAGCCAGGCTCCAGACCTCTTTCTCCCTGTGGAATCTGGTCAAGTGGATGGTAAAAAAACAATCAGTTCCTTTTTCCTCTCCAAAATCTTTTTCATTTTTTGCCACCAGGTCTCACTCTGTCTCTCAAGTTGGAGTGCAGTGGCACAATCTCAGCTCACTGCAATCCCTGCCTCCTAGGCTCAAGCAATCCTCCCACCTCAGCCTCCCAAGCAGCTGGGACCACAGGTGTGTGCCACCATGCCTGGCTAATTTTTTTTATTTTTGATAGCAATGAAGTTTCACCATGTTGCCCAGACTGGTCTTGAGCTCCTGAGCTCAGGCAATCCACCCACCTCAGCCTCCCGAAGTGTTGGGATTATAGGAGTTCAGCCACCACACCCACCCATACAGCCACAGAGCCCAAATCTTGATTAATGGGAGAAAAAGATTTGTGTGACAAGTCTTGGTTATAGCTTTTGGTTCTCTGTGGCATGAATATTCAAATTGTTTGATTCATTTCTTCCCCAAAATAGTCTTTTCCTTTATCTTTGTCTTTCTGTGTTGCTCTGTCATAAAAATTAGGGTACTGCTTGAGGTTCTCTTGTCATTTTGTGCCCTTGAAAGTTTGACTTCTGATCAAGTGGAAGCACTCTCTCTTGGTCTCTGCCATCTGGGGGCATGATTTTTGAGTCACGTCAGGTGGCCAGTCTAAAAATGGCTAGAAACCCAAGACTTTGTTCCAAATGTGTCAAGCTCTTAGGACAGTCTGTCATAAAGTCTCATCTACAAGGGCTTTTGTCATCTCAACCTTTGTTGCCTGGTTAGTACTAAAAAAGTCCAGTCCCATGAGGGCCTACCTATTCTCACAGATTAACAGGTCTGTGACTGGTGGTACCCCACATATCTGTGGGTTACTGAAGACCATCTATGATAATTAGAATCTTTCACTATCTGAGCTTATTCCTGGCAATACATTTTTTGGGCGGGGGCATGGGAACTTTGGGAAGGCTCTTCTATGCCCTCTCCAAGAACACATTTCTAAACCTAAAAAATTACATCCTAGGTTTTCCATAAAGAGACTATTAGATTGAGTCACTATTAAAATAAGTACACCATTAAAAATTCAACAGCCAAAAGATGGATCCTTTAAATTAGACTCCTAAATCAAAAAAAAAAAAAAAAAAAAAAATTTAAGAGATTTCTTATTCTAAACAATTGATGAGAAGGTCACATTTTTTTTTAGAAGACACACAATAGTGTCATGGTTAGTCTTACAAATTTTTCTCTTGACAAAATTAAAAGAGCAAAAATCTGACCTAAAACAAAGTTAAAATCCTTTGTAAGCTCACACTCCCTGCTTTAGATCCCCTGTGGGATTCACAATAAAGGCTGCTGTACCTTATGGCTGGTAATTCAAGTTGTACACTTTCACCACCATAGCCTGGGTTCAATTCCTGGTCAGAGAATCAGCCCCTTTTGGCTCAGTATTCATGTGACTTTGACTTTTTGGGGTACCCATTCACCTCTTTAGAGATGCCAGGTGCATCCTTAGTTAAGTCATAACTTTGGTTAAGTCTTACTGGTTTCACTTGTGAAGGTATCTTCAATAAAAAAAATTCAAAAGGCAAAAATATCATCTGTTTGTCCCCCCAGCTAAAATCTGACAATAGATTTTAAAAGATTTTTTAAAAAGAGCTCTGTGGTTAAAAGTCAGCTTAATTAAAAACTGATATTCAAATTATACATGCATATATAATTTAAGAACATATATCCTGGAGATATATATATATCCTGTTCTTAAATTTTTTTTCAGTAGACTAAAACTCTCTCAAAATTATGTTTTTAAAATTAGACTCTTAAATTTTACTTCCTTTCTTAGAAATTGGGCCAGGCACAGAGGCTCACACCTGTAATCCCAGCACTTTGGGAAGCAGAGGTGAGCAAATCACTTGAGCCCAGGAGTTCAAGACTAGCCTGGGCAACATGGCAAAACCCTGTTTCTATAAAAAATAAAATAAAATAAAAGTTGGCCAGTCATGGTCACAAGTGTCTGTAGTCCCAGTTACTCAGGAGGCTAAGATGGGGGGATAAATTGAGCCCGGGAGGTCAAGGCTGCAGTGAGCCATGATTGTGCCACTAAAGCCTGGGCAACAGAGTGAGACCCTGTCTCAAAAAATATATATTTTTCTCCCATTTACTCTTATTTCTTCCTACTCCTCCTTCCTCCTCTTTGCTGTCTTTGGTACAACATAAAAGAATCTAGAGGGCACTTCTAATGATTCAGATCCCTTAAGAAACACAAAAAAAGGTGCCATCTACCTCTTACTTGTACTGTAGGAGAAATGTGACTTGTGTGTGTGTGAGAGATGAGTGGTGAGTCATCACCACGGTAAGAGCTACAGTTTTAGAGGTGACTGGTAACAGCTGTTTATAGTAAACGATTATTACTACAAGAGACTACTTGTTTCTTTGTGAGTTTAGATTTAAAAGATGTAGTTTAAATACTTTTAAAAATGTCTGTATCAAAGTACACTATACAAGCATTGCATAACCTGGTTTCATAGCATTTTTCTTTCTGGGGATGTGGGATTCAATGTAAAAGCAAAATTCTACATTTGTAAAGCTCTATATGTTTTGCCTTTCAACGGTGCCTACTTTCCACATATTTTAATTATTAGGCCCTAAAAACTACAGATACTTTGTTGACCCTGTTGCTTAATGGGCTCTGCCTTGAGCTCAGTGATCCAGTTAAAAAACAGACTAAATTTTACAATGCCCCTCTAAATAAAATTAGTCCCCTTATAAAATCCTATAAGTTCCTATAAGTCTGTTACCTTGACATCCATTTTTAATCTTCCACTAACACATTCAAACTCCTTTTAAAAAATATAAATTCTCTCTCTGCACTTTAAAATATAATTTACTACCCTATTTTCTCTAAAACACAATAAGGGCTTGGGCCATGTGAGGCAGATAAACTTTAATCTTTTTCACTTATGAATACAAAGTTTAAATCCAACTGTTCTTTTAAACTAGTGAATTTTACTGGTCTTATGGCTAAAATTTAAAAACCAAAGCTATAAAGTCTTTATTTGTGTCCATCTATATTTTTATATATACATGTCTAAGTGTATATACTGTCTACATAATATCAAATTAACTTATAAGTTAGTACTCACAAATTAAATAGGCCCAAATAATTTTCAAGTTCACATGATTTTAGTAATCCTTAATAAATTAAAAGTTTAAAAATTATTAGTAAAATAAAATTAAAATGTCTTCAATTTTTAGTTTTTTTTTTTTTTTTTTTTTGGCCTGGTTGGATTGATCAGACAGGTTTATACTGTCTCTACTAAATGTTGTAAGGTCACAGAACTGTTACTTCTATAATATTTTTAATGCTTACTTAATTTATCTGTGAGCTTATGTCTGTAAATTTGAGACTTTAGATTCTAATGTCTAGACAAAAAAGGTCTGGGGACAACACCCAGGCCCTGTCCTCCCTAGCCCAACCATGTCTCTTGGCCATACTAAGGATTAACTCCTCCAGGCATTGTGTTCACAGCTCTATTCTTTGTCTTGCACTGCACATAGTTACAATTACTTATTTCCTAGGTTTTTCACTAAAAGTAAGAGTTACTAAGAGATACTATCATAATTAATATATATAATTAAAAGTACTAGATATTAAAATAAACAATTCCATACGCAAAGTATATTCCAAAAGGAAAATGTGTTTTTAGTAAAAAAGGTTATAAAACACATAAAAATGTGTTTTTGTAAAAAAAAAAAAAAAAAAAAAAGATTTTGCCTAGTATAAACGTTTAAAAAGTTTTTAATTAAAAAAACAAAAATAAAAAATTTTAAAAATGTTTAAATTTAAGAGGCTATTTAAAAACGTATAAAAATCTTGTGGTCAAACTAATTAAAATTAAATAGATTTATTTACAAGGCTTTATTAAAAATTAACTTTAATGTTAATAATACACTAATACAAAAATAAAATCGAATTTTCTCTGTTTTTTTTTGAGTCAGGATCTCACTCTGTTGCCCAGGCTGGAGTGCAGTGGCGTGATCTCAGCTCACTGCAACCTCTCCCTCCTGGGTTCAAGCAATTCTTCTGCCTCAGCCTCCCAAGCAGCTGGAACTACAGGTGCATGCCACCATGCTCAGCCAATTTTTGTATTTTTGGTAGAAACAGGTTTCACTGTGTTGGCCAGGTTGGTCTAAAACTCCTGGCCTCAAATGATCCCCCTGCCTTGGCCTCCCAAAGTGCTGGGATTACAGACGTGAGCCACCAAGCCCAGGCAGTTTTCTCTTTCAAACAAAATTTTTATGTACTATTGATAAAAAATAATTTTTAAAATTTTATTTACCTTCTAAATAAATTACAAAAAAGAGGGGGTAGAGGGAAAAACAGATTCAGTATGACTCATGGTATCTTTATTATGTCTTATAAGTCTCTACCAAGAGTAAAAGGTTTTGCTTTTTAAAATCTTTAAATTATCACGTTGACTAATGATATCTTTTAGTGGCCTGCAATCCTGTTTTAAACCTTTGTTATCTGACATATTTCCCCAAATCAAAATTTCAAATTCAGTTTTTTTGACCTCAAACTAACTTTTTAGATAATAGGGCCCCTAGAAGTCTAAGAGAAACATATTAGCCTTATTTAGTATGTTAAAATCAAATGGAAATCATTAAAAAAATGGTGCTTAACTTTCTCTGCATTATATTTATATAAATGTGTTATTAATATATGTTCTAAACCTGTATGAGATTCCTAAAGATTTGAAATGTCTTCAGATATATTATCAGTAATAATTATGATTATGTTAAATTGGTACATGTCAATGAAATAATCAAATTTCCTTGTCAATTGTTAACTATTCTAAGACTTTTGTTTTCCATTGACAATCATTGTTTTACTTTGATTCTTCTCGAAATGTAGTTTACAATCGGTAGAGTCCAAAATTTGCTTCTTCTTCGGAGAAATTAATAAAAAAAGACCCTGATAAGTAGTTGTAAATATAGGTTTCTGATAACTTTATTGATCCGACCATTAGACTAGGTAAAAACTTTCAGTATTCTAGTTAAAAAACTGATGTATTCATGAGGATTGCTAACCTAACATCCAACAGTATAAGAATTACAAGGAATTACATTAGTAAAAGACTAATTTTTATGACTTCAAAAAAAATGCTGTGTTTTCCAGTCAAAAAACTTTTTTTTCTTCTAAACTATTTATAATTTACAACAATTGGGTAAAATATACTTTGTGAACAAATTTAAAACATCTTTCTAACTAATTTCTCCAAATTTAAAAACTATTTATAAATATTCTTAACTTATCAGAATATAATTATTTAGATAAGTTCAATACACATCTGTTTTCTTTGTAATAGGACACAGAGACACTGGTTATTTTACCAATACTTTGACTAAAATAACATATTTGCAGATATGACCAGACTACTTGAAGAAATTAAAGTTGACTTTATAAAGCCAATAAAAAGACCCTTGTCTACACAGTTCCTTTATAAGTTTCCTGACCTGTGATTAAAAAATGTAACTTTCTGACAGACCAAGGGACCTCGAGTTATTTTATGATATCAAAAGGAGAAAGATTCACCCAATTTGTTACAGGTATTAGAGTCTGGTGGCAAATCCTTGGCTTAGCCTCCTGGCCTTGAGGCTTTTAAAAGTCTAATAATCTAAGATTCCTTATTAAAAAGTTCCAATAAAACTAATCTAAGAAGAGCCTATATGGCCAATCGCTATTCTTATTACACTTTATACAAATAAGCAGGCCAAGTACAATAAGACTAAAATTTATTTTACAAATAAATTAATCCTACTATGATTTATCTTTGGTAAAAATGGGAGACTAGAAGAAAAAAATCATGTTTCAAATAAAACTATAGCACATCTGTTTAAATTAGATTCTAGCCTCATTAATTGTTATTGTTGTTATTACTTCTCTAATATTTAGACTAAAACCTGAATTCTTTCCTGGCTACAAGTTTCCAAACTAACATTTTCAAATTTTTCTTCCATTTTTGACTTTAAGCCACTGAAAGTTGAAACTGTGCTTTTCTTAAAGCCCTACAAACTGAAACTAGACAACGTAAACTTCAGGAAAAATCAGAAGTTAAATACAAACAGCCTTCATGCCTACTGATGTATAGAATACTCAGAAAGTTCACTTCAATGCTGATTTGAACTATAATCCAGTAAAATCTGTCAGATTGCCACTGCAATCTGAAGATACCTCAAGGACTCTAAAAAACTCTATACACTACTCCAGACATTAACCTTGGTTTTTTCTTCTGTTTCCACAAAAACATCTCTTATTAAAGATCTGTTTCCCTTCATCATACACAGAGGCCTAGTGTACCTACAATGCCACCTTCTAAAATGGGACACAAATGTTTAATCCATTCTTAGGACTATGACTAAAAAAGATATGGGGCAATACATTTAAATTTACTCTTTTCTGCTTATCTAGATTTGTTTTTTCACTTCTTTGTCTATCTCTGATGACCTCTGGCCCAAATGGCTTTTAATATATAAAACTTTATGAAGTTTTAAAGTGAGGACTGAAGGAAATTAAAATATTTTACCCCAAAATATATTTATCTGACTTATTTCTCACAGGCCTCTAGATTAGGCCTATGAGACACAAAGTAAATTGATACATTGAAAAAGGCCAAAAAGAAACTTCAAAATTATTTTTCTAATAAAACGCCCTTTGAGAGAACCTTCAAAATTATGTCAGCCTCTTCTAGGCCTAAGGATGAAGACAGGAGGTTGCCTTAGAAAGGATTTTCCTATTATTTGAAGGGAAAAAATAAAATTAAGTATCATGTAACAACAAGGCTAGCAGGCAACTTAGGAAAGTGTATAACAGGACGTCATTTGAATACAGGGATCCAGGGAGGTGGATTAATTTATGTAAGTTGCCCAAGGAACTTCAGAAATGAAGGTGACAGAGAATCCAACCCATGCTGCTCAAAATCAGAAGTTGGAAAACCTGTAGGTATATATTAGGGTATCCTAAGCAAGGCTGGCTATCAAGAAAAGACACCAACGTCTTCAAAAAAGAAATTATCAAGAAGCACAGAAGAGTCATGATAGCTCAAAACTAAGACTGCAATTCTCAAACTTTAGTATACCCGACAATTGCCTGGAAACCCTGTTAAACATAAACATTTCTAAGCTTTACTCTAGAGATTCTGACTGAGTCTATCTGGGTAGGCCTTGGAATTTCTACTTTCAATGAGTTATCCTAAGTGATTTTCCCACCATGCTGAAGAGAAAAAGGAATGCTGACCGAAGGATTTGCAGGGGATTCTCAAGCACAGAAGGAAGCTTAAAGCCTCTTGTAGGAGGAATGGCTGAGCTAAATGGGTTATAACTGGGATGCTAATGACAGAAGCTGCACTGTATCCTGTGAGACTTCGACCCTGCAAGGGTATCAGCAGATTCCCATCTGTCTGCATGTGCAAGCCATCCTTCAACAGTGATACCCTGCACCAGTATGAAGCAAGAACAGTAGTGAACTAATCAGACAATTCAGTTTTTGCCTCCCTGTGGAGTTTGTAAGTAAAATTAATCACCCTGGAATGAGTAAATCCATGGAGTTCTTGGACTACTGTGAGGAGAAACATATATCAAAAGGAAAGTATAAACCTTATATAAGCAAGAATGACTTTATTTGTATCCCATGTTGATAATGATAAAGTACACTAAGAAATCCCAGGCAAATAGGTTTACTTATTAAAATTAAACATAGGCTTTCCGGCATCATCCGTCTCCTTAACTAAAAACATGGCCTATTTCTCACATTCTCGCTACTCTTATGCTGAAGACGAAAGCCATCCACTTTGCCCTTGAGGCATTCACTTTACAAAACCAAAACATACCTAGAGCTAATTTGGGGGAGGGGCCTAAAACTGTCTCAGCCAGCCCAATCCCTGGCATATAGATTGTCTCTAGCTTTCTAAAGGAATTCACACAAATTGACCTGTTACAGCTTAATTTGGAATTCTATTCACAGCAAACAGTTCAATTTCATGATTTGAAACCACAGACTTTCTGGATTTTAACCCAATCTAGTCTCTAAACTGAGATCAGGTGGGCACCACTCTATTGAGACTACAAAGATAAACAGCAGAGCAGTAAAAACTTGACCTCTGAAATCTCTTCCCTCACTACTGAGTAATGGGGCATCAGAAAGGAAGTCACAAGGGTAATGGCCCTCTTTTCCCCAAACGTTAAGGACCTACCTCTCTGGGTTTTGCCTTTTTAAGGAAGCAGGCCCACTTGGCTAATTCATTTGGAATTCAGACAAGCTGTGGCCTCTTGAATCATAAAGCACTAGAATCACAAAGTCAGATGAAAGAGGCCTCAGGCTTCAAGCCACCAACTTTAGCTCAATATTCAAGTCAACTTGGCTCTCCTGGCTGAAGACAAATTAGTCTGCCTCAAATAAAATGGATCAGGAGGAAATGAGATCATTGGAAATGTCAGACACAGCTTTCAAAAGTGAGCCATTTAAGGTTTGGCTCAGGCATAGGAAAACCCCCCCAATTAGCTTCTGGCCAGCATACTTTCCCTACAAAACAGCCAGACCTCAGTGAGGCAGAGAACACAGCAGTTCTCATTAGGGGTTAAAGGGACAGGCTTATCACTACCAAGCTATTAATCTGCCCTGTCAGAAATAGACCTAATTCTATTCCTTCCTCTATTCAGATAATACATTTTCCTTTTCCCATGCTCTTCAGAGCTAAGCTGCCTCCAAGTAGAGACTATGCCCTCCCTGCATTCTTAAAGAATATTTCAGAAACTATCACCACAATTTGTCAAACTAAGACAGTATGTGAGGAAATAACGATTTGGGTCTTAAGGCCATCAACAGACTCTTATCTTAAAGGAACAATTTTCAAATAATGCAGGTACCAAAAGCTAACAGTATTTTTCTACTTACCTTAATACAGCCAACTATTGTAGTTGTAAGAGCAGAATTATACTGCGTGCAGAGTACTGTGGCGTACATTAAGATAAACCTAGAATGAAGAAAGAGGTATAAAATCCAGTTTCTCACTTTATACTAATCTCTAGCCAAGATAAACAATCAGTGTTGGCCAAGCCAGCACATTCTAGTCACTGACCAGCTATGAATTTTCCCCACCTCACTGCTTCTTATACTGCAGCTTCAGAATTTTTAAAATTTCACTAAATAGAAACACATTCATCTCCTTACCAAGAGTTTTTCTTTGCTGCCCTCATCAAAACCCTGAACCATCTCTTACAATCATGACTATTTTTATAGATCATGCTTCCTACTAATACACCTAAGCCAGCCAGACAGAAAGCTCAGAGCTCACAGACCCTAAAATGCAGTTGTGCACCTTCCATAAGGACAACATGTCCTCTGGGCCAGACGAAGACAAGAGAGATCCTTAAATATTGAAGAAAACCAAATTAAAACTACTTTAAGAGGGGATACAGGTTCACTTAACAACTAAGTGGCAGCAGTTGGAACTCTCTGATTTACACTGAGGCTTCTCAGCTTAAGTACCAAGGCATCAGGTCAACTTTATTTTGAAGCACCTGCTCACTGTGTGCCAGATCCAGTCACAAATAGCAACTAAACTGACTGGCTGAGGAAAAAAAACACATTAGAGAAATATGGACATGAGGATAAGAGGCACGTTTGCAGGTATCCTCTTAACCTCTACATATTCTCTCCTATGAGGAAGAAAACATGGTAAAGAGGGGTCAAACTGCCCCAAATTCAAATGCTGCCACTGCCACCTACAAAGTGCGCAAATTTAGACAATTTACTAAAGTTCTATCTGTCAAATGGTCAGTATAGAGATAAAACTATATAATGCATGTTGAAATATAATGGTGCTTACTAAACAGCAGGTTATCAGGTAAATTTTTTCTTTTCTTCATCCTTCTAAGGTATCAATTCAGTAGCCCTAAGAGCACATTCCCAAGAGCTATGAAACCACCTGAATCTGGAGGCTTAATTATCCTAGGCTGACACACTCAGGAGACCTAAAGATATTGAGAAAAGAGGCATGCAAATTTCTCTAACCTATTTCTTTAGGAAAACTATCTGCTAACAAGGTAACAAAGGCTTACCCCATCACACAGGAGAGGGTGAACTGCAGAAGAAAGAGGGTGTCAGCCCAGCCTTCAAACTCCACAGCCTGCAACACACAAGAAAGCATTAAATTTTAGACCAGGCCTTCAAAATCAGCTATCCCGTTTTAATGTAAATCCTTCTACGAGTCTGCCTCCAACACAGACACAGACACAGACACAGACACAGACACACACACACACACACACACACACACACACACAGGTATATGTTTCCCTGAATTACTCCAAGGATAGAGAGTGATGTTCAAAGATTTCATGTATACAGAGTTGAACTAGTAAGTAGTTTCATAAGATTTTCTCCCATCCAAAATGTAACGTGGGGATTTTATACTTCTCACTATTGGTGCAAAGAAACTGGTATTTCCTTGAAGGCACAAGCCACATTTGGCTAATCTCAGTTCTTTCAGATGGCTATTAATGTGCTAGTACTAAAGGCTTTCTCAAACATTAAAACATGTTTCCTTTCTGTAACATGTGAAAGCTTAAATACAGCCTTAGTTATACAAATTCAGCTGAGGTCTATTCAAGGAGAATTACTGTTTTAAAACGGTTCATTCTAAAAACAAGGTATTTTGTGTTGTTGTTGTTGTCTGTGTTAAGCCAAAAGGAAAGGAATAAAGAGAAATGAAAGGGTACACTGATCATCTCATCTCTTGTCCAAGAGGAATGGATTCTCAAGTACCTAGTTGTTTTTGCAATAGGAGTTTGATAAGCAAATGTGACAAACATTCCACCTTTTTATCTCTGCTAACCTGTCCAGCTTCAACTTTTGCTACTTCCGCATAAATCTGATGGCACCAGGGCTCCAACAATACCAGGCTCCCTGTGGCTTATAAAACATACCATACACTTTCTTACTTGCATGCCTTTGCCTGGAATGTCCTTCCCCTCAACATTCGTCTGACTCCTGTTCAGCCATCAAATTAAAACTCAAGGCTCCCTTGTGGGGCCCTTCCTGATCAAGTACTCCTTCCTTTGTGCCTCAGTACTCCTCTCTAGAGCTCTTGTCTCTTCGAACTGTAAATCTTTCTATACCATGTCTACAGAATGAACTCCCTGAAGGGAGGACCCACATCACATTTATCTAATCATATTCCTAACAGTGCTTGACAGACAGTTTGTTTATAGTTCTTTGTTGAGGTAGAATACATGAAAAATAAATTAATTTTAAGTGTTCAATTCAATGAGTAGTCACAAATGTATAATCATGTAACCACCATTACAATCACGATAAAGAAATCAACTCCTTCCAAAGTTCCCTCCTCCCCATTGAGTCAATCTCCCCTCCATTTCTAGCCCCTGGCAACCTCTGATCTACTTTCTGTTACTATAACTTCGCTGTTCAACAATTTCCTACAAGTGGAATTGTATAGCATGTACTCTAGTGTCTTCCTTCTCTTTCACTTGGCATTATGCTCCTAGGACTCATCCATCCTATGTATGTATCAGTAATTCATTCATTTTTATTGCCAATTAGTATTCTATCTTATGGGTATACCACAATTTGTTTATCCAAACACCAGGTAATTGACACTTATTTGGGTTATTTCCACAAGTTATTATGAACCTTTGAACCTTCCGTTACAAGTCTCCCAACTGACATGTTTTTATTTATCTTGGGTAAATAGCTAGAAAATGGGATTGCTGGTTCATTTGGTTAGGTGTATCTTTAACTTCGTAAGAAACTGCCAAGCTGTTTTCCAAAGTAGCTACACAATTTTGTATTCTCACCAGCACTATATAAGAGCTCCCACTGATCTATATTCTCACCAACACTTGGAACTGTTACAGGCCATTCTAATAAGTGGTTAAGTGATATTTTCTCATTTTAATTTGCATTTCCCTAAAGACTATCAATATTGAGTATCTTTTAATCTTTGACATTAGCATTTCTTCTTTGGTGAAGTGTCTGTCTAAATCTTTTGCCATTTTTTTTTTTTTTTTTGAGACAGAGTCTCACCCTGTCGCGCAGGCTGGAGTGTAGTGGTGTGATCTCAGCTCACTACAACCTCTGCCTCCTGGGTTCAAGCGATTCTCCTTCCTCCGCCTCCCGGGTAGCTGGGATTACAGGCACATGCCACCACACCCGGCTAATTTTTGTATTTTTAGTAGAGACAGGGTTTCACCATGTTAGCCAGGCTGGTCACGAACTCCTGACTTCAAGTGATCCGCCCGCCCTAGCTTCCCAAAGTGCTGGGATTACAGAGGTACAAAAGAGGTGCCCGGCCTCTTTTGCCAAATTTTTATTCACATTATTTGTCTTATTACTGAGCTGCACGAGTTTTTAAAAATATATTCTAGATAAAAGTCCTTAATCACACATATGCTATACACACACATACATAAAATACAAATATTTTTTCCCAGTCTGTGACTCACCTTCCATTTTCTTTTTTTTTTTTTTAAGACAGAGTCTCACTATGTCGCCCAGGCTGGAGTGCAGTGGCACGAACTCGGCTCACTGCAACCTCCGTCTCCTGGGTTCAAGTGATTCTCCTGCCTCAGCCTTCCAACTAGCTGGGATTACAGGTGCATGCCACCACACCCAGCTAATTTTTGTATTTTTTAGTAGAGATGGGGTTTCGCCATGTTGGCCAGGCTGGTCCTGAACTCCAGACCTCAAGTGATCCGCCCGCCTCAGCCTCCCAAAGTGCTGGGATTACAGTCGTGAGCCACCATGCCCAGCCTCACCTTGCATTTTCTTAATAGTGTCTTTTGAAGAGCAAAAAATGTTAATGTTGATGTAGTCTAACATCAATATTGTCTTTTATAATTCTTGCTTATAACTTTTTAATGAAACCTGGGTGTAACCAAAAGTCAAAGATCTTCTCCTATCTTTTCTTCTAGTTTTATGGTTTTAGCTTTTACAGTTAGGTCTATGAACCTTTTAACATTAGTTTGCTAGAGCTGCCATAACAAAGCACCACAAAACTGAGTAGCTTAAATGGCAGAAATTTGTTGTCTCACAGTTCTGGAGGGTAGAACTCCAAGATGAAAGTGTCTACAGGATTGGCTCCTTCTAAGAACTGAGACACAATCTTTTTCTTGCCTCTCCCCTAGCTTCTAGTGGTTTGTTGGCAATCTTTGGTATTTTTTTAGCTTGTAGAGGTATCACCCTGATGTCTAACTTCATGTTCACATGGTGTTCTCCCTGTGTGCATACCTGTGTCCTAATTTCCCACCCCGCCCCCCAACCTTTTTTTTAAGCAAGGTCTTGCTTTGTCAACCAGTCTGGAGTACAGTGGCGTGATCATGGGTCACAGCATCCTTGAACTCCGAAACTTAAATAATCCTTCCACCTCAGCCTCCTGAACAGCTAAGACTATAGGTGTGCACCACCATATCTGGCTAATATTTTTTAAGTTCTTTTGTAGAGACAGGGTCTTGCTTTGTTGCCCAGGTTGGTCTCAAACTTCTGGCCTCAAGTGATCCTTCCACCACGGCCTCCCAAAGCACTAGGATTATAGGTGTGAGCCACCCTGCTGGCCCTTGATTTCCCTTCTTAGTAAGAACACCAGTCATATTGAATTAGTGACCCACCCTACTCCCGTATGACCTGATCCTAACTAATTACACCTCAATCATCACATTTCAAAATAAGATTTATTGTGAGGTACTAAGGATTAGGACTTCAATATATGAATCTGGAAGGGGAGGGACACAATTTAACCTATAACACTTTCCTGATTAATGTTTGTATATTCCACAAGGTCACAGTCAAGGTTCACTATTTTGCATACAGATGTCAAATTGTTCTACCAACATTTGCTGAAGACATTATCTTTTCCTCATTGATCTATTTTCACACCTTTGACAAAAATGATTGCCCACATGGTATATTTCTATTTCTAGATTCTCTGTTCTGTTTCACTGGTCTGTCTACTCTTAATCCAATATCACAGTGTCTTGATTACTGAAGCTTTATAAGAAGTGTTGAAATCAAGTAGGGTAAATCCTCTAAAGCTGTTATTTTTGAAAACTGATTTGACTATACTAAGTCCTTTGCAATTCCACATAAATTTAAAAATCTGCTTGTCAATATCTACAAAAATCTTCCCATAGAGTTGGGGTGGTGTTGAATCTATAGATGAATTTGCTAAGAACTGACAAATTATATCAAACCATCTAATTAATAAACATAAAAATCACTTATTTAGGTCTTTTAAAATTTATCTCACTAGTGTTTTGTAGTTTTCAGCATACAGGTAACATATTTTGTTAAATTTATCCCCCAAGTACTTTATAATCTGAAGCTATTATAAGTGGTATTTTTTACTTAGCTTCCAAGTGTTCACTGCTGTTTTGTGGAGCTACAGTTAATTTTTGCATATTGACCTTGTACTGTACAAACTTGCTAATTAGTTCCAATCACTTTTTTCTAGATTCTTTAAGATTTTCTACATATATCATCATGTTTTTAATACACACAGTTTTGCTTCTTCCTTTCAAATCTATATTATACAGATGGAGTTCTTCAACATAACACTGAATAGAACACTATATGAGTACAGACATCCTCGCCTTGTTCTCAAATCTTAGTGAAAAAGTATTCAGTCTTTCTTTCACCATTAAATATGTCAGCAATAGATTCTTTGGTAGATGTCCTTTCTTATGCTGAGAAAGTTCCCTTCTATTCCTAGTTTATTGAGAATTTTACACTCATGAGTGGGTGTCACCTTTTGTCAAATAGGTTTTCTGCATCTATTTAGGATAGTTCTACTATATTCTTGTTAATATGGTAAACTGCACTGATCGATTTTCAAATGTTAAATTAACCTTAATTCCTGAGATAAACACAATATGGTCATGATATACTGCCCTTTTAATATATTGCTGGATTTTTTTGTACTGTACTTTCTCCCCCCTTGTAATGTTTTTGTCAGATTTTGGCAGAAGGTAATCCTAGCCATATAAAATCAACAAGGAAGTGTTCTATCTTCTATTTTCTGGAAGAATTTATGTAGAATTATTATTTCTTCCTTAAATTTTTTGTCAAATTCTCCAGTGAAGCAATCAGGGCCTGAAATTTTATTTTGAGGAAAGTTTTTAACTACAAATTCAATTTCTTTAACATAAATAGGGCTATAATAGCCCTATTATTAATTAAGGCTTATGATTAATTTCAATTAAACAGACCTATTTAATTACTGTATTAGTCTCTTCTCATGCTGCTATAAAGGAATACCTGAGACTGGGTAATTTATAAAAGAAAGAGGTTTAATTGACTCACAGCTCCGCATGGCTGGGGAGGCCTCAGGAAACTTACAATCATGGCAGAAGGCACCTCTTCACAGGGTGGCAAGAATGAGTGCCCAGCAAAGGGGGAAGACCCTTATAAAATCATCAGATCTCGTAAGAACTCACTATCACAAGAACAAGATGAGGAAACTGCCCCCCATGATTCAATTATCTCCACCTGGTCCCTCCCACGACACATGGGGAATATGGGAACTACAATTCAAGATGAGATTTGGGTGGGGACACAGCAAAACCATATCAATTACTTAACAGAGTAGAGTTATTCATACATTACCTATTTCTTCTTGAGTGAGCTTTGGTACATAGTTTGTCTTTTCCAAGAATCTATTTTGTCTCAGTTGTCAAGTTTATTGGCATAATATTGTTCATAATATTCTCTTACTATTCTTTTAAAATATACCTGCTCTGTAATGAGGTCCTTCTTTAATTTCTGATATTGATAATTTATGTAAACTCACTTTTTGGCCTGATTAATTGGCTATGAATTAGCAATTTTATTAATCTTTTTTAAAAAAAATCTTAGCTTTTAGTTTCATTGGTTTTCATTGCATTGATTTCTATTCTTATCTTACAATCTTACATTTCTTATGTTTATTTTGGATTTAATTTTCTAGTTTCCTTTTTTTATTCTTCCTTCTTAAAAGACAGGTCTCACTATATTGCCCAGGCTGGCCGTGAACTCCTGACCTCAAGTAATCTTCCTACCTCAGGCTCCCAAAGCATTGGAATTACAGGCATGAGCCACCTCATCCCAGCTACTTTCTTAAGACAGAGGCTTAGATCACTCATTTTAGATCTTTCTTCTTTTCTAAAATAAGCATTTAGGGATTTAATTTATATAATTAATTTTATGGGTTTCCCTCTATATACTGTTTTGGCTGCATTCCAGAAATTTTCCTATGTTGTAGTTTTTTTGTTTTTTGAGACAGACACAAAAACAACCAGGGTCTGTTGCCGAGGCTGGAGTGCAGAGGTGCTATCTTGGCTCACTGCAATCTCTGCCTCCTGGATTCAAGTGATTCTCGTGCTTCAGTATCCCACGTAGCTAGGATTACAGGTGTGAGCCACCATGCCTGGCTAATTTTTGTATTTTTAGTAGACACGAGGTTTTGCCATGTTGACCAGGTTGGTCTCAAACTCCTGACCTCAAGTGATCCACCTATCTCAGCCTCTCAAAATGCTGGGATTGCAGGAGTGAGCCACCACACCCAGCCACTATGTTGTGCTTTGATTTTCATTGTTCAAAATATTTTCTGATTTTCTTTGTGATTTTTCTTTGTCTATGAATTATTTAGAGGTGTGCTAATTTGCAAATATTTGGGGATTTTCCAAATATCTTTATGCCATTAATTTCTACCTTAATATTGTTCTGGTCAGGGAATATACTTTGTATGGTTTCAATTCTTTTAAACTATTAAGACTCATTTTATGGCCCAGAATATAGTTTATCTTGGTATATACCCAATGTGCACTTGAAAAGAATGTGTACGCTGCTGTTGTTGAGTGGATTGTTCTTTAATGTCAAGTAGATCAAGCTTGTTGACAGTATTATCCAAGTCTTCTATACTTTACTGACTTCCAGTTTCACTGTTTTATCAATTACTGAGTTAAAAATATTAAGATCCCAATTGTAATTGTGGGTTGGTCTATTTCTCCTTTCTGTTCTATCAGTTTTTACTTCATATATTTTGGAGCTCTCTCATCAAGAATATATACACTTAGGACCATTATATCCTTTTGAGGAATTAACCCATTTTATCATTATGAAATGTTCCTCTTTATGGTACAGTTTCCTTTACATTCTGTGTTTACTGAGCTCCTTGTGTGTGTGCCTTTAAAGTTTTCATCAAATTTGCAGAAAAAAAATTTCTACTCCCACCCTTCATAGACTTCTTGATATTGCCCCACAGGTCACTAATATTGTGTTCATTTGCTTTACAATCTTTTTTCCTCTATACGCTTCATCTTGGACAGTTTCCATTACTGTCTTTAATTCACTGATCTTTTCTCCTAATCTGCTGTTTCATTCCTTCCACTTTATTTTTCAATTCAGATATTTTTCATCCCTAAAAGTTCCAATTGAGTCTTTTGTTATAGCTTTCTTTTCTCTTCTCATCCTTTCTTAACAATCCTTCACAGCCTGTCATCCAAAGACTGAAAAATGTTGTTTGATAAATGTTTGATTTTCTAGTACCTTAATGTAGGAAGGTAAACCCTGTCCGTGTTATTCCATCATGGCTAGGAAATGAAAGACCACATTCAGTTCCTGATTTGAATTATAAACCTGTACCAAATGATGCTTCCACTAGGAAGCTTTCACAAAAACCTAAGTTGCACATTAGTATCTTTCCTGCCAAACTCAAGAGAAGACTAAATGCTACTTTTATCAGGTTCCTTACTAAGTATGTGTACATATATGGACATCTTTATGTACATGACTATCTCTCCAGACAGACATTGCAAATACCTTGATGATTTATCTCTGTATCCATGGTATTTAACAAAGTGATCAGAAAATAGTAGGTGTTTAATAACTGTTTACTGGATGAATGGAAGACATGAGAACTCATGCATACAATCTCATGCTACGCTCCTTCATACCTGTAAACACAACCTCCTCTCTGATGAAAAATCAGTAACGCACAATAAACTGGCCTACGACTCAGGAGACCAGCTTCTGCTAGCAAGACTGTAAGTTCCTTGGGAGCAGGAAATGTGTCACATGTCATTTCTGCAGAGTTCCATGCACTTAGAAGTGCTAAGCACAAATACTAGTGGCAGTAGATTAAACATCCATGATCTGTGGCCCAGCATCATTTTCTACACACAGATGAGGTGAACTTTGCTTTTGTTTTAATCCCTGACCCCCTCTGAACTTTGCTTTTTAATACACCCACACACCTGCTTGTACATGCTACTAACTGTATTTAAGTTGAATGTTAAATCTACATAATTTGTTTTTAAAAAAAGTTTTATTTCACATTTATCTGAAACTGGACCAGAATCTCAAGTATGTTTACATTTTAATTGTTCACATTTTAACTGTTTCTTACACTATCAGTTTGCCCTGTTTCCTGCGCCCCACGCCCCAAGCTTTATTAAGGTATAGTTAACAAAATATATAATTTTAACTTTTCTTCTAATAATTAAAGGTCATTTGAACTGCATGTAACTCATTAGCTTTGCACTAAGTTTTTTTTTTTTTTCTTTGAACAGACAAGGCATAACCCAGTAAGCCATCAATTAGGCAATGGAAAGGTTACGCATACCCTGCAAGAAAAGCCATTGTACCTAGAAAAGTAGGTGGACCAGGATTCAGAAGCCTGGTGTCTTGTACCACCTCACCACTGCTTCATTATGCTAGACTGAGCTTCTGTAAAGGAGAACTGCATGGGTATTAAGGCTTCTTCCAGTTGTGACAGGAGTATTAGATCAGCTTGAAAAGTAGAGAGTTTATTTTACCCAAGCTAAAACACATAAAAGAAATCTCAGCCCTAAAACCTTTCCTCCAGCTCTAAATTATCTTCCTTTCCTGGCTAAGCTATTCTTTTATCCCAAAGTCATTAAGAATACAGAATAAGTTGTTGTAAGGGACAATGATAATTCTCTGAACCTTAGTTTCTACATATGTAAAAAGAGGAATAATAAGGCCTCATCTACAGGGTTGTTATCAGAATTACAAAAAATATATATATGGATACAATCACTGACATGGAGGGAATCTGGCTCAATAAATGATGTCAGCTACTATATATAATCATTACTTTTAATTTTTTTTTTTATCAGTGACCTAATCAGTGGTTCAGTAATCAGAATTATTTGGCAAAGACCTCAAATAAACCTCTCATAAACCTAAGTTTCTTCTCTCCTCTAGCTCTAAATATCTCCTCTGCTTTCGGTGTACAATTCTGACATCTATTAAGTCCCATGTGCCAGGCCCCAGGCAGGATTTGAGGCACAATGCTAAAGATGGTTTAATCAGGCTTCCTGATAATCAAGCAGCAAATGATTAAAAAAGTGCTGCCATACATTTTTGGAGTGCCTTATGGTTTACCAAGTGCTTCTGCATGTATCATGTCATTTGATTGCCATGACAACCTGTGGGACAGAAAGGCCAGATCTTCTTATACCCAGAAGACGGGTAACTTACTTTAGGTCACACAGGTTATATACGGTAAACATGAGTCTACATATGCTAAGCCCCAAGGCTGTCTACACTGAATGTTACATTTGATTCAGAAAAATGCCCCAAATATATACTGCACAGTCTCCTTTGGGGACATAATAATGATATCTGCAGGACATTAAAATAAATCTCATGGATATGGTTCCATTCAGATAAAAATCAAAAACAGAAAAATAATTCTCATGGGACTTTTTTTTTATTTCTCTAAGTATTTGGCCTGTCTCTGGAGAAAGTCAGTCTATGGCACAAGCACGCTGTTGCATTCCTCTGCTTCGCCACAGGAATAGATCTTTGGCTGCAACAAAAGCAGCAGCAGCCATTTGAAAGTACAGCTGTAGGAAAAACAGAACCCTGGCAGTCCCTACAGTGCAAAGGAGCCCATTCTCCCTGCCATAAAGACAGCATTAAAAAAAAATAAAAACTACTGCTTATTAAGTGCCTATTATGTACCAGGCTCAGAAACATTCAGTAACTTTTCCAAAATTATCTAGCTAGTAAGTACCTGTTCAGCTCCATAACCTATAGTCTTTCCATCTGTACTGCCGCAAAAAAAAACAAAGGCAAGGCAACAACATGTTCTCAATTTTTTTTTCCTTTATGGCTCCACGTGGTTACCAATCAGTGAGTCAAATAGCAGGAGTTCTAATTCTAACTGCCATTAACTTTCCATGTGGCCATCATAGTTATTTAACATCAGTGAGCCTCTACCTATGTTATGAATGTAGAAAACAGTCTGCTCTATCTGCCTCCTGTGAGGATCAACTGAGAGACTAAAATGCAGTCACTTTAAATGTAGACAGAATTTACATACAGAAGAAATTATTCGCTTAAACTTCCACCAGTTATCTCCTGGTGGTAGATTTGCAAGCGAATTTTTTATTCTCCCTAAGATAGGAAATAGAAGGCATGGTGAACATACATTTTGTTAATCAGGAAAAAAACAAAACATTTAAAATGAAACAAAACTTCTGCTTCTAGAGAAAGCTCTGATAAAGAGCCATTGTGAAGAGAATGACCTACCTGGTCATTCTGTGTGTGACACAGAACTAAACAGGCTCTCTGCCACAAGGCCTGGAATCTTCGGTCTTGGCTGACTGGTAGCTGTGATTACAGATTTAATAAACAAAGATGCTTCTTAGGCTTTCCTTCTGTTTTGAATAAAGTCTTTAGCGCTACAGGTGCCAGTATAATGTAAATACCCCAGGAGTGAAAACAATGTCCCATAATCAACGGGAGACAGCAAATGTTATATGGACCTACCACTACCTATAACTACGCTTTTATTTTTTTTAAATTTGTTTAATTGTTATTTTTAAATAACATGGTAGGTATATATTTATGGGTTATTTGAGGCTATTTTGATACAGGCATGCAATGTGTAATAATCACATCATGGGCTGGGCTCGGTGGCTCACACCTATAATCCCAGCACTTTGGGAGGCCGAAGTAGGCGGATCACCTAAGGTCAGGAGTTCAAGATCAGCTTGACCAACACGGAGAAACCCTATCTCTACGAAAAATACAAAAATTAGCTGGGCGTGGTGGCGTGCACCTGTAATCCCAGCTACTCAGGAGGCTGAGGCAAGAGAATAACTTGAACCCAGGAGGCAGAGGTTGCAGTGAGCCGAGATCGCACCATTGCACTCCAGCCTGGGCAAGAAGAGTAAAACTCCGTCTCAAAATAATAACAATAATCACCATCATCACATCAGGGTAAATGGGGTATCCATCCCCTCAAGCATTTATCCTTTGTATTACAAACAATCCAATTATACTCTTTTAGCTATATTTTGAAATGAACAATTATCTTGTTGTGCTACCAAATACTAGTTCTTATTCATTTTTTCTAACCATTTTTTGTATCTCTTAACCCTTCCAGCTTTCCTCACCCCCCTACTACCCTTGCCAGCCTCTGGTAAACCACCTACTTTCTATCTCCATCAGATCAATTGTTTTAATGTTTAGTTCCCATAAATAAATGAGAACACGTGAAGTTTGTTTTTCTGTGCCTGCCTTATTTCCTTAACATAATGACCTCCAGTTCCATCCATGTTGTTGCAAATTTCAGCATCTCCTTTTTTTTATGGCTGAATTGTACTCCATTGTTTATATGTACCACATTTTCTTTATCCATTCATTCGCTGATGGACACTCGAGTTGCTTCCAAATCTTGGTGAATAGTGCTACAAAATAGGGGTATCTCCTCAATATACTGATTTCCTTTCTTTTGGGTTTTACCCAGCAGTGGGATTGCTAGATTGTATGGTAGCTGTATTTTTAGTTTTTTGAGGAACCTCCAAACTGTTCTCCATAGTGCTTATACTAATTTAGATTCCCACCAAGAGTGTATGAGGGTTCCCTTTTATTCACATCCTTGCCAGCATTTGTTATTGCCTGACTTTTGGTTAAAAACCTTTTTAACTAAGGTGAGATGATATCTCATTGTAGTTTTGGTTTGCATTTCTCTGATGATCAACAATGTTTAGCACTTTTTGTATATGACTGTTTGCCATCTGTATGTCTTCTTTTGAGAAATGTCTACTCAGATCTTTTGCCAATTATTTTAATCAGATTACTAGATTTTTTCCTATAGAGCTGTTTTTCAAATATTTACAAATATTTTCTCCCATTCTGTGGGTTGTCTCTTGACTGTTGTTTTCTTCACTGTGCAGAAGCTTTTTAACTTGATGTGATTCCCTCTGTCCATTTTTACTTTGGTTGTCTGTGCTTGTGGGGTATTACTAAGAAATCCTTGCCCAGTCCAATATGCTGGAGAGTTTCCCCAATATTTTCTTCTACTAGTTTCATACTTTGAAGTTTTAGATAAGTCTTTAATCCATTATGATTTGATTTTTGTCCAAGGCAGGAGATAGGGATCTAGCGTCATTTTTTGCATATGTACACCCGGCTTTCCCTGAACCATACACTGAAGAGACTGTCCCTTCCCCAGTGTATGTTCTTGGCACCATTGTCAAAAATTAGTTTACTGTAGATGTATGGATTTAGTTCTGTGTTCTATTCAGACACATAGATTTCACTGATCTATATGTCTGTTTTTATGACAGTACCATGCTGTTTTGGTTACTATAGCTCTGTAGTATAATTTGAAGTCAGGTAATGTGATTCCTCCAGTTTTGTTCTCTTTGCTTAGGATGGCTTTGGCTATTCTGGGTCTTTTGTGGTTCCACATAAATTTTAGGATATTTTTTTCTACTTCTGTGAAGAATTTCACTGGTATTTTGACAGGGGTTGAATTAAATCTGTAGATTGCTTCAGGCAGCATGAACATTTTAACAATATTGATTTTTCCAATCCATGAACATGGAATAGCTTTCCATTTTCTTGTGTCCTTTTCAATTTCTTGCATCAGTGTTTTATGGCTTTCACTGTAAAGACTTTTCACTTCTTTGGTTAATTTTAAGTTAAAGTATTTTATTTCATTTGTAGCTATTATAAATGTAATTACTTTCTTGATTTCCTTTTCAAATCGTTTGCTATAGCCATATGGAAATGCCACTGATTTTTGTATGTTGATTTTGTATCCTGCAATTTTAGTGAATTTATCAGTTCTAATAGTTTTTTGGTAGAGTCTTTAGGTTTTTCTAAGTACATGATCATATCATCTGCAAACCAGGATAATTTGACTTCTTTTTCAATCTGGATGCCCTTTCTTTCTCTTGTCTGATTGATTTAGCTAGGACTTCCAGTATTACACTGAGTAACAGTGGTGAAAGTGGGCATCCTTGTTGTGTTCTGATCTTAGAAAAAAGGCTTTCCATTTTTCCCTATTCAGTATGATACTACCCATTCATCTGTCATATATTGTTTTTCCTTCTATACTCAGTTTTTTGAGGATTTTTATCATGAAGGGATTTTGAATTTTATCAAATGTTTTTTCCACCATCAATCAATCGAAATGATCATTTGGTTGTTGTCCTTCATTCTGTTGATATGATGTATTACATTAATTGATTTGTGTATCCTGAACCATCCTTGCATCCCTAGGATAAATCCCACTTGGTCATGATGAATGATCTTTTTAATTTGTTGTTGAATTTGGTTTGCTAGTATTTTTGTTGAGGATTTCTCCACTACTATTCATCAGTGACATTGGCCTACAGTTCTGTGTTGTGTGTGTGTGTGCGCGCGTGTGTGTGTGTTTAATGCATCTTTGTCTGATTTTGGTATCAGGGTAACACTGGCCTTGTAGAATGAATTTGGAAGTATGCCCTCCTCCTCTATTTTTTGGAATAGTTTCAGTAAGATTGGCATTAGTTCTTCTTTAAATGTTTCGTAGAATTCAGTAGTGAAGCCATATCCAGGCTTTCCTTTGCTTGGAGAGTTTTTATTACAGCTTTGATCTCATTCCTTGTTACTGGTCTGTTCAGGTTTTGGATTTCTACATGATTCAATCTTGGTAGGTTGTATGTGTCCAGCATTTATCCATTTGTTTCAGCTTTTCCAATCTATTGGCACACAGTTGCTCATAGTAGCCAATAATGATCTTTTGAATTTCTGTGGTATCAGTTGTAACGTCTCCTTTTTCAGCTCTGATATTATTTATTTGGGTCTTCTCTCTTTTTTTCTTAGTCTGGCTAAAGGTTTGTCAATTTTTTCATTTCAGAAAACCAACTTTTTGTTTCATTAATCTTTTGTATTGTTTTCTTCATTTCAAATTCATTTATTTCTGCCCTGATTTTTATTATTTCTTTTCTTCTACTAATTTTGGGTTTGGAACCCAAAAGAACTTGCTTTTCTAGTTCTTTAAGATGTATCATTAGGTTGTTTATTTGAAGTTTTTCTTTTTTTTTTTTTTTTGATGTAGGCATTTACAGTTGTAAACTTATCCTCTCAGTACTGTTTTTGCTGTATACCATAAGTTTTGGTTTTCCATTATCATTTGTTTCAAAAAATTTTTTAATTTCCATCTTAATTTCTTCATTAACCCATTTGTCATTCAGGAACATATTGTTTAATTTCCATGTATTCAAAAATCCCTCGTTATTAACTTCTAGCTTTATTCCATTGTGGTCAGAGAAGATGCTGGATATTATTTCAATTTTTTGAATGTTTTAAGACTTGTCTTGTGACCTAACATATGGTCTATCCTTGAGAAGGATCCATGTGCTGGGAAAAAGAATGTGTATCCTGCAGCCACTGGACGAAATGTTCCGTAAATATCTATTAGACCCATTTGGTCTACAGTGCAGATTAAATCCAATGTTTCTTTGTTGACTTTCTGTCTGAAAGATCTGTCCAATGCTGAAACTGGGGTGTTGTAGTTTCCAGCTATTACTGTATTGGGATCTATCTCTCTCTTTAGCACTAGTAGTATTTGTTTTATATATCGGTGCATTCTTGCATCAGTGTTTTATAGTTTTCACTGTAGAGATCTTTCATTTATTTGGTTAATTTAAGTTAATGTATATTAACTTAAAATATATCCGGGTGTTCCAGTGTTGGGTGCATATATATTTACAACTGTTATATCCTCTTGCTCAATTTACCCCTTTATCATTATATAGTGACCTTCTTTGTGTCTTACAGTTTTTATCTTAAAATGTATACTGTCTGACGTAAGTATAGCTACTTCTGCTCTTTTTTGGTCTCCATTGGCATGTAATATATTTTTCCATCCCTTTATTTTCAGTCTATGTGAATCTTTACAAGTGAAGTGTGTGTCTTGTAAGCAACAGATCACTGGGTCTTTTTTTTTTTTTCTTTTTTTATCCATTTAGCTACTGTATGTCTTTTGATTGGAGAGTTTAGTCCATTTACATTCAATATTATTACTGTTAAGTAAGGATTTGCTCCTGCCCACTTTGTTCTGGTAGTTCTGTGGTCTTCTCTTCCTTCTTTCCTTCCTTCCTGTCTTCCTTTTAGTGAAGGTGATTTTCTGTGGTGGTATAATTTCATTTCTTGCTTTTCATTTTTTATCTATCTGTTGTATGCTTTTTTATTTGACATTACCATGAGGCTTGCAAACACAACCTAATAACCCAGTATTTTAAGCTGACAACAACTTAACACTGTGTGCATAAACAAACAAGCAAAAAGAAAACTAATAAGAACTCTACACCTTAATTTCATCCCCTCACTTTTTAACTTTCTATTGTTTCTCTTGATATCTTATTGTACTGTCAATGTGTTGAAAAGTTGTTGTAGGTATTATTTTTGATGGGTTCATCTTTTTGTCTTTATATGTAAAATAAGAGTAGTTTACATACCACAGTCACAGTGTATAAGTAGATATTTTGTTGAAAACTTTTAGTTAAATAAAAATATTTGAAAAAATTTTTAATTTTAAAAATGTGGGTTTTTTTGTTGCCTAGGTTAAGGAAATTAAGAGAGAAAGGGAGTATGTGAGTAAGATTAGCACAAAAACTACACAATCAATACAAAGGCTAAACTCTCATCCAGGGATGCAATCAGATTTTGTCTTTTGTACCAGCTCTGATCAACTGATTCTGGCTGTCTAGACTCCTGTCTTGGTAAACAGTCTCAGGCTATGTGTAAGCATAGCAAGAAAATATTGTGACTACTTGGTAATGTCTACAATGAGCACAGGATAACTTAGCACCAATTTACAATTTACCAACCCTAATCTAGTCAGAAGTATGGAAAAGTTTCAATGTCCACTTGAGGCAACCATTCCCCATTTCTGAATCATCAATTCATTTGAAATCTGAACTAAAATCCAAAGTGTGACAGATATTTTCTTAGTGTTTTGACACATCTCTGTTTACCATGAAGTCTAAAAATAAACCACTGAGTTTGCATGTCATGGTAAAGAAAAAAGATTAATAAATGATATTCTATTCCTGAAAATTCTTTCCCTGAAAAATTACTAAGAAAAAAATTGAATCCTTATCTGAAAGTAAACTGTTAGGAAACTTGCTAAGGCAGAAAGAAGATAATGTCAGTGGTGCCACCTATATAAAATAAAACCTACAGATCATGTCAAAACTACACATTCCAGCTTGCCAAGTAGGTCACTTGCTCTTATTTAAAAAGAGATATCTCAGAGGTAAGAATGGTTAGAAACATAACAGTGTCAGTCAAATAATATACTGGCAAAGAGAAAGTTCTATTCATTCATAACTAAAGAATAATTGATCCAACCCACCTGTTTTACATATGGGAACACCAAGGCCCAGAAAACAGAAGGAATCTGTCTCTATGTGGTGAGAATAATTCAGAGTCTGAAAATCAATCTGTGTGGTCCACAGAGCAATCCAGAAAAGATGAATAACTCTAAACAGGCTAACTTAACAGCCTAAAATTTCTTCATTATTTAGTCAGCAATGCTTAGTATGAGACACTTCCAGGCAGACAATTTGTGCAGCAACCTTTCCTATAACTCCCCTAAACCATGTAATTTAGCCAGTGATATAATGGAGACATTATACAGCGTACCACAGAACTAGCCTTGTGAGATCTACAGCAAGTGGTCTGTTCTTCCATCTCTATGTAAGAACACCTAGCAGGGTGTGCTGCCAGAAAGCCAAGCTCCAACTCCTGTGACTGAATCACTGGCTTTGTACTAAAAAAAAAATCCCATCTGGAGGTAGCAATTAGTAAGTTTAAACACAATCTGTACTGATGCTTTGGAAAGTCATTGGTCAAATGATGTCCACTCTGCCTTTATCTATGTTAACTAGGTATCTTTTATTAACAGTAAGCTGGTTTTTGCATGAGGCATAGTTTAAAAAAATGTTTTTAAGTTAGAAGATACATGTTTTAAAAACTAAGTGCTGAATATATTTATTTGTTCCTTGGTTTCTGGTAAACCCAGAACTTTGAGAACCTTGGATAAACTTTAAATATGTATACACACACACACACACACAAACACACACACAACTAGTTTGGTTTCTCAAAATGCTTTGCCAAGACCTTGCATTATGTGCTCACTGGGACGAGTTTTTCAACTGGAACTTTCCTTTACATTCTTATGGTAATATATTTCGTTTTTTTCATCGTTGGCCTCCAACTCTTGCTTAAAGGCTGTATCAACCCCATCAACTGCTGTATCCAACTCCTGTCTCTCTGGGGAGCTGGCCTTTCAGAGCCCCCTTGTTGGATTCTTGTCCTAACAAAGGGAAGTTTTCCCTCTTCTGCCTACTAAATTTAACAGTGAGACTTTCAGAATAATTTGCATCGATTTTGCTTCAAACTGCAATGTGGGTCAAGAGTCTGCAACTTAGGATAATAAAAAACTGACTTGCCATGTCCCCAGTTATTTTCAAATTTAGGGTTAATCACAGGATAGTAGTCATTTATATAAAAACTATCTTTTCCTTATTGTTCCTTTGATATAGTTTTTAAATACGTTTATGTGGTCCTATAATCAAAAAAATATAGAAAGATGAATAGTTTGAGAAGTCTCCCTCCCATTCCTGTTCTACTTACCCTGTTCCCACAATATGCACAAAAATTTATTAGTTTCATGTATATTTTTCCAGACTTTATTTAAATAAGTGAAAAAATTGTGTGTGTGTGTGTGTGTGTGTGTGTGCGCGCGTGGGGGGTATTCTTATTTTTCTTTTTATTTTACCCAAAAGGTAGGATATCATATGCACCATTTTGCACTGTGCTTTTTCATTTAACCATTTATCTTGGAGATCTTTTAATTCAATACATAGAAAGTTTCCATTCAAAGTGGCCCCCATTCAAAGTGGGTCAGGAAAGTCTGAAGTCCAACAAATGAGAGCAGTTTATCAGCACTGATTATAGGGGAGTAGTGGGCTCATGCCAGCTGTGAGAATAGCTGCCTGTTTCCACAATGACATGGCTTTTACTCCTCAGAAACTCTGTCTCAACCCCAGAAAGGGCTGTACCTAGAGACTCATTTTACAAATGATAAAGCTAGGTGGGAGAGCAGAAGGGATTTATCCAAAGTCAGATGGTGGTCAGGCACAGAACTGGAGGTGGCTAGTTTTCTGCATTCTGAGAGCCCTAAATTCTCCCCACTGTACCACTTACATCACAATTTTTTTTTTTTTTTTTGAGACACAGTCTTGCTTTGTCACCCAGGCTGGAGTGCAGTGGCACAATCATGGCTCACTGCAGCCTCGACCTCCTGGGCTCAAGCGATCCTCCCACCTCAGCCTCCCCAGTAGCTGGGACTACAGACACACCCGACCATTTGTGCTAATTTTTTTGGAATTTTTTGTAGAGATGGAGTTTTGCCATGTTGCCCAGGCTGGTCTTGAATTCCTAGGCTCAAGCAATCTGCTCACAACTCCCCAAGGGCTAGGATTATAGGCGGGAGCCACTGCACCCAGCCCTTTGTCACAAACTTTTAAGGACTTGTCACTACCTGCAGAGTAAATGTCAAATTCTTGTGTCTAGCATTGGTCCTAATTTAGAAGGAATCAGGGTGTGATATGGTGGGAATGGTAATAACACCTGCTTAGAACTTAAAAATCTAGGTTCTAGTCCTCTCTGGGGCCCAGTTTCCCCAACTATGAAATAAGAGGCTCAAACCAGATGCTCTCTAAGGTCTCTGCTAATGTTTCTAAGGTCTTTGACTTCTACCTTCTAATTTGAAGAGTCTGGTCTTTGCAGGTATGCCTGAGCTCATGCTGTTAGTTCTATCTGGAATGTACCTTTTGTTTCTCTTCCTCCGCATTCTTCAAGGCCCACTTTGACTTTTCCTGGTATTTGCCCATTTAAAAAATGCTAAGCACTCTCACCTCAGGACTTGGAACCTGCTCTTCCTTGACCTAGATTACTCTCCCTCCAAAGGGCCATACAAATTGCTCTCTTAGTCCATTTGGTTCAATGTCTGCTAAAAGAAACTTTATATATTCCCTAAGCAAATTAATTCTTCCAACTTTCTCAGATTTGCCTCAAGATTTAGAACCATATATCACACCATATTCTTGTCCCAAAGCTCGAGAGTGAGGGGTGCTTCTGCTAGTCGCTAGTCTGCTCCAAAGCACACAGCCTTTGGAGTCAGGCTTGGGTTTAAATCTTGACTCCACTATTCCCCAATAGTATGACACTGGACAAGTTTCTTAGTCTCTCTGAACCTCTCCTTCCACATTAGTAAAATAGGTATAATTAAAATTTTCTTGACTGTTATAAAAACTACATTATATTAAATATACAAAGTGACTAACACATAATAGGGATTCAATAAATGTTAGTTTCTTGTCCCATTTTTTTTCACAGCCACAAAATACTTATTTAATACTCTTTATTAGAGAAATAGCCGTTTCCTACTTTGGTGTCATTTTTAGGCCTGCTGGCAGGTAGGTCACAGTTCATTAAAACATTTACACGTATATTCAAGATGACCTGTACCAGTTCTTTAAAAGAAGAGGTATGATGGGGGGTGGGAAACAGCTTCATAAGCTGTCAGTCTCCAGCCTTTGGTTCAAGAACAATTTAATAGTCCAACAGCTTTTAAAAATCTCTTTTATTTTAGCTCCCACAAACTTGTAAAAATCACGGTCTTTAGAGTAAATGACCAACATACTTATTCTGAAGAAGTTACTAGCCAGGGGAATCATTAGAAGGAATCTTGGTACAGAAATCCTTGCCATAATTCTGGATTTCCATTTAGTTTGCAGAATTTTGTGAATTCTGACAATATGTTATCAATTTGTCTCCTACACGGGCTTGTTTTAAAGAAAAATTCTTCTCCAGATTTATTTTACTACTCTATGCTGTATTTATTTAGCTAGACATTTGCAGAAAATTGGTAAACTACTATATTAGTTGTTCTTTATAAGGTTAAGTTGCCACACAATGCTAAATATCTCCTGAGAAAAAAAAAACAAGTTGGGAGTTAAACCAGGATGACAACTGTACACTAAAACTGAGAACTTCTAGCAATGCCTAGCATTTTGTTTAGGATTTGGAGAATTTTACTATTTCAAGATTTTTGTTTCTCAAGGATAGTTTACTACTATTCCTATTTTATAGTTTAGCAGAAATGTAAAAATTCCCTTCCTCTATCCTTCTGGCATGTAAGAAAAAGACACTAGCTGGCAAGCACTATTTTTATGTTGACAGCAGAGCTATTTTGAGTCATCTTTGTACTATCCAATGTTTACGCCAAGAAAAGAGGTTAGCATGACATTAGCAATTTAAAGAGTAAATGCTCAGTTTTTGGTCACTTAATAAGCATATTTCTTTTGAACAACAAAGCCTATCTTTTCATCATAAATAATAATGCAGTTCATCAACGTAAGCCATTAAACCGTAATTAGAAAGTCCTACCTTTTGTGCATCTCCTGTGAAATACGCAATGGCCAGGGTGGGCAGAATCATGAACAGTGCATTGTAATAGAGCAGTCCATATTTTCCCAGCTCCTAGGACAGTAAATAATTAGGTGTTTCATCTGCGTTTTGTTCTAGCAGATACAACACTGTACAAAATACCACTCAAACTACACATAAATACACAAACACACACACCCTCCCCTACAACATACACAGCAAATGAATTAAGTTAGAAGTTTTGCAAACATTAAGAAATAATCTAAACTTTCAAGACCAAATAAAGCAAACTTACAAAATTTTATACTTACTTGAAATAAATTCCTCAAGTGCTTAAGATCAGAGAAATAAAAATGACTACTGGCTGCCTCAAAATAGCAAGTAGAAAAGAGGTTATTTTGAACACATACACACACACACAAACACACACACAGCAATATCAAAACATCTCTCTGAAGCCATTCTCTTTCTAGAACTGAATCAAGACTGAGTATGTCTTGGGCTTTTCAGAAGCCTAGCACAGTGTCATTTAAGAAAGATGGATGAGGCCGGATACGGTGGCTCACACCTGTAAACTTAGCACTTTGGGAGGCTGAGGCGGACAGATTGCTTGAGCCCAGGAGTTCAAGACCAGCATGGGCAACATGGTGAAACACTGTCTCTACAAAAAATACAAAAACAGCCAGGCGCGGTGGCTCACGCCTGTAATCCCAGCACTTTGGGAGGCTGAGGCAGGCAGATCACCTGAGGTCAGCAGTTCAAGACCAGCCTGGCCAACATAGTGAAACTGTCTCTACAAAAATACAAAAATTAGCCGGGCATGATGGTGGGTGCCTGTAATCCCAGCTACTTGGGAGGCTGAGGCGGGAGAATCGCTTGAACTCAGGAGGTGGAGATGCAGTGAGCCAAGATCGCACCATTGCACTTTAGCCTGGATGACAGAGTGAGACACTCCATCTCAAAAAAAAAAACAAAAAAACCTAGCCGAGCATGGTGGCACGTTCCTGTAAATCCCAGCTACTGGGGAGGCTGATGTGGGTGGAACTCTTGAGCCTGGGAGTTCAAGGCTGCAGTGAGCCAAGAACGAGATTGTGCCCCTGTACTCCAACCTGGGTAACAGAGCAAGAACCTATCTTAAATTAAAAAGAAAAAAAAATTAGCCAGGAATGGTGGTGTGCACCTGTAGTCCCAGCTACTCAGGAGACTGAGGTGGGAGGATCCCTTGAACCCAGGAATCCAAGGGAGGCTGCAGTGAGCTCTGATTGTGCCACTGCATTCCAACTTCGGCACCAGAGCAAGACCCTGGCTCAAAAACAAAACAAACAAAAAGCACAAAGCAAACAAACAAAAAAAGATGGCCAGATTCAGACATGCAGACTCAGGCCTAGACCAATACCAACAGACAGCACTTCTCAGTGAAGTATTTCCGAAAACGTGTACATGAAGTAAAATGAAGATTAAGATTACTATAACTACAGCTCCCAGAACACAATATGACTTACTGGGTTCTTAGCTACTAGGGAGCAACAAAGGATAACACACATCTTCAAACACAGGGAGCCTATAAGAACTCTGAGTCCACCTTTGATTCACACACTTCTGGGACATTCAGCATGAAGCAGTCTCCTGAAAATGCAGGCCAGGGTTTGAGAGGTGGGAAGTGGGGACAGTGAGGGAGTGGTAAGGATGGGGGCATAACACTTGCCTAACTCCTGCGATTGAAAGATTACTGACTGATGAGAAAAGTCGAACTGCCTTCTCAAAAGCAGCACTGAAAAATTGGAAATAAATACCCAACAATTGAAAACTAGCTGATTAGGCTGGGTGCAGTGGCTCATGCCTGTCATCTCAGCATTTGGGGAGGCCAAGACAGGCGGATCGCCTGAGGTCAGGAATTTGAGACCAGCCTGGCCAACATAGAGTAACCCCGTCTCTACTAAAAATACAAAAATTAGCCTGGCGTGGTGGTGCACACCTGTAATCCCAGCTATTCAAGAGGCTGAGGCACAAGAATCACTTGAACCCAGGAGACACAGGCTGCAGTAAGCTGATGTGCCACTGCACTCCAGGCTGGGCGACAGAGTGAGACTCCATCTGAAAAAAAAAAAAAAAACCCCGAAGGAAAACTAGCTGATTAGATGATTAGACTATAACTAGCTATACAATGAAACATTACACAGCCACTAAAAATGTTTAATGATGCTGATTGACATTAAAAAGGTGTTCAAGAAATGGTACTAAGTGAAAAATACAAGTTAGAAACTATATCATCCCTTTTTTGCTTAAAATTTTAACATACAGATAAGTGTGCACACACATACACATACAAAATAAAGGATATCCACCAAAACAGTGCTTCTCACTCGATGATAGTATTAAGGGAGATTTATGTTTTCTTCCTCTTGCTTATCCATGTTTTCTACTACTTCTATCATAAACATGCATTATTTTATGTAATATTTTAAAGTTAAAAAGTTTTAAATTCGATAGCCACATTCAGGTCTAAAATGCAGCACAAAATCTTTATGCCATATGACTCATACTCAATGGACTATAATTGTAAGCAGCCTGATATTATCAGTAATAAAACTCCTGATTGGCTGCCCTGCCTATGGAGTAGCCATTCTTTTGTTTCTCTACTTCTAAAAACAAAAGAAAACAAGAAAACTCCGGATGTATTAAAAAGCACCTCAGCATGGCCGTACTGCCTTACTGCCTCTGGGATAAACCAAGTAACTGATTGCTTATGGTCACCACAAGCATCAGTGTAAAGGTGTGCCTCATGTGTACGGCAGCAAAAAAAAAAGCCATACTGGGACAACCTTTAAGAAGGGTGCCCAGTCAGCCAGAGACATGAGTGTTATCCAGGAAGTAGAGGATATGCATGGAGGCACACATACACACAAATACACATCATCCAGTAACTGACAAACAGCAAGAACTTAAATGCCAAAACTTCTGTTTTTCTTTATACATTTTAATTGTTTTGAATGTCTTTCTCCCTGCCTTCTTAAAGTACACTGACTGAAACTAGATTTAGGGCATCATCATAAACATGTATTATTACATCTTATGATACACTGTTACGCATCATAAATCTGTATTATTATGTTTATGTATTATGTTCTTATTCAGTGTTGCCCTTACGGCTGTTTAATAGACCCTGTATCTTTTTCTTCTTCTCCAGTATTTCTGTCTTTTACAATCTGACTGTTTCTCTTGTTAGCTGACCTTTTATACTGCTGGTAAACCTCTCTGCCTCTAAATAGAATTCTACCTTCTAGTTTGTTGCTTATAAGATATGAGCTAGGAGAAGTAATCAATGAACTTAAAAGTTCTAGTATAAATAAGTCATAGTGATTTCTAAGTGAGAAACTGAAGGGCTCTCCTAGGAATAAAACACTCAGAAACTTTGATTTTTTTTCTAGATTCTAGGATATACTATAGATTGTACTAATATGGTAGCCACTAGCCACATGTAGCTATTTCAATTTAATTATAATCACATAAAACTACTGATTTCAGTTTCTCAGTTATTTTCAAGTGCTCAAGGGCCATGCATGGCTAATGACCAGTTAATGGAAAGCAGAAATATAAATTTCCAATGTCACAGAAAATTCTATTAACAGTGATGTTTTAGACAACTGAAGCTGCTGGACAAATAAAATGTCATTAATAGTATCTATTTTCCAAAGCAGCAAATGGGCTGAAGAAAAGAGTAAGATCAATCACTAACTGCTACCTTTTCTCTAGCTATTTTAAAAAGATAAAAATTCTTACTAGTAGCTTCCATTAAAATGTAACCATCATATAGATTCATCAAAGCAAATAAATGGAGGCCAAGACATGCATATTTAAAGAAAATGGATTGGAAACAAATCAACACCGTCCTTGGTTCTTCAAGCCTATTCCAAAAACAAAAACAAAACAAAAAAAAATAAACTATCTGCAAAATAATGAAACCTACTGGGATAGACATTGAATCTACACTTCTTTTCTAGAGGAGCAGGCAAAGCCCCTGGCCAAGGCAAGATCAATTCAATACTAATAGTACTATCAAGCAGGTAGGACACTTGTATTTATTTATTATCTAAGCTCCCAAAAAGGAACTTAAGTAGTTTCAGAAACATTCTACACATAATAGAAAAGACTAAAAACTAAGCAGTTAAAGTCATCTGACTAAAGAGAAAATATGGGTAGGAAAATAAGATAAAGTCATGGTCAGTTACAAGATGTAATTATGAGATAAAAATGTACCAGCTGCTCAGGAAAAACTATGGTGACATCTAAGATAAGTATCTCATATGAGTCCTCATATAGGATACATTATGATATCAAGGACAATTCCTTCAATTAGCCACCCTAGGATATATAAAGTTGAGATCCATTTAGGTGTTTCTTACAGTAATGTAATCTCATAACGTAATGTTGCAAAAGCAATATGATTCAAATACTCAGCTTTCTAATAATCTGGCTTGATCTAAAAATAATATATTTAAAGTATATAGTAAACAAATAAACAATATCTGGTAAAGCCAAGGCCAGGAAACACTGTGTTGCCCCTAAGAGAGACAGAGATACTAATGCTCCCTAAAATTTCCCATTATTTATAGGGCAAATACATAAAGGCCATTTTTGTTTTGCAGCCCCTTCCAACATTCATTTCCCTTCAAGTCTGCCCAAAGGTTTCCAAGTAGTTCTCTTTCTGCCTCCCAGGTCCCTCGGAAAGTCCTCTAGAATACAGCCATGAACATTTAAAGACACTGCAGTGAACACACTTTACTTTCCCTACCCCACACGAAGTCAAAATTCACGCAATCCCAGAAAAGCCTGGAATAAAACCTAATTGCTAATTAATTAAAAAATAAAGTTTCTTATATGAACACTAAAGTACAGGAATTTTACCCTCAGAGAGCCACTATGTCTTTCTCATCCCCAGTAAGAACTTTCTTTATTCCCCACTTTTTCTCCTATGAATTGACATGCCAACATCAGTACACAACTGTTAAAGCTTTAGATTGCTACTTACTTTTGAATCTAATTTTTGTTTTACGTATGCACCATTTGCTGCTGTTAGGACATCGTTTATCAGAATAAAAGCATATCCTTCCAGATCAAATGCCAAGTCAGAGCTGCAAAACATAAGCAACACTTTAAGAACAACTTAAAGAACATGCATTTAATTTTAAATAGATATAAGCTAAAATATTTACAAGAACATATTCTCATCTAGGGAAGTGAATATTAGGCATTTTATCAGCTACTAGTATTTCTTGATTTCTGGTCATAGTTTGCAATTTCACCTCAATAAGGGATTCCTCAGAAATAAGAGGCACTAACATTTAAACACATAATTAGCAACGGTCATTCATGTCATTTAATAGCACACCGCTCTGCATTCAAAGCCAGATGACAACAAGCACCAAATTACCATTAAGTACATCTGTGAAGCAGGCAGAAGCAGGCAGAGCTCAATTTCATAGACAAGAAAACCAAAAGGATGAGGCCATTAACAAGTCATTTTCTGAAGGTCCACATGAAAGGTAGGACTATCTTGCATAGGTAGTTGGGCCCCTGGGTGAAATTTCTGAAGTGTGGATCATGGTTAGTTCTGAGATCAAGCTAGAACAATGTCTAAGCACATAGCAGGAACTCAAATACTTAAACAATAGCTCAATGAACCTGTGAAGTATAACTTGGGGGTTTAGGGAAACTGAAAATTTCTGGAACTTAGAGTACCAGGCACGAGATAAGAATTTAGTAAATTAAACAGAATAAATGAAAATCTGAGAAAGGTATGCCTTCAGCATACTTCAGCACCCTAGCTAAAATAGTGGCTGCACAGACTCTGATTTTGCAGAGATACTGTATAGGAGCCAAGACTTATCTAATGAGTTCTATGCCACTGCAATTTTAGGCAGGACTAACTTAATGCACACTCCCTACCCCAAGCAGTCTAACAACCTTCTGACTGACTTCAGAGGTCTGAGTTCCCTTCCTTTCAATCTTTTTCCAAGTCAAAGGGTCTAACCAGATAAGGCTGGTCCAGACAGTAATCCTTTTCAGAAGTTTTTGTAGACACAAGAAAGCCCTGAGGAACCCCTGTTGTTTGGTACAATTTTGGGTCCCATCAGCTTCAAGGAAATGTTTCAAAGACTAGCAGGGCACCTCTAAAAAGAAAGGTAGGAGGCTAGCATAGAATTTTTCTCCAAGGGGGGAATATGACATAGAAGGAAAAGCAGTTAGCTATATAGCCAATTTCTAGTAACCAATTACGCCACTCTCTTTTTTTTAGAATGAAATTTTACTTGGAGATTGGACTTGTAAAACAGGACTGGACTGATAATATTTTCTTCCACCTATACTACAGGAATGTGATGAAGGTAAATGAGTCAATTCAAGAAGTACACTGGAACTCCTGGATGGAAAACATATGTCTGGCAGAATGTGTGGCATTAGTAAATACATATATGCATGCCCTGGGCTGATTAAAATGTTGTAGAAGACTTCTAGCATCATTATAATTTTCTAGGTCTGTGGGTATACATTTTCCTCATGTATTTTAAAACTAAAACTTAAGAAAAATGGGAAAAGCTTTAATAACCTAATAGAATATCTAAGTTATGGCATTTGTGACATATCTTATGTGAGGCCAATTAAAGCAATGTTATTGTTCATTATTCGAAAAGGCAAGCAAATGTTTCATAGTCATTTTCCTCACCTCACAGAAGAGGAGACATGCTTTTCTTTAGCAGCATGCAAAATTAAGGAACGCCAGGCCAGGCGCGGTGGCTCACGCCTGTAATCCCAGCACTTTGGGAGGCCAAGGCAGGCGGATCACGAGGTCAGGAGATCGAGACCATCCTGGCTAACATGGTGAAACTCCGTGTCTACTAAGAATACAAAAAATTAGCTGGGTGTGGTGGCAGACACCTGTAGTCCCAGCTACTCGGGAGGCTGAGGCAGGAGAATGGCGTAAACCTGGGAGGCGGAGCTTGCAGTGAGCCGAGAGCCCACTACTGGACTCCAGCCTGGGCGACAGAGCAAGACTCCGTCTCAAAAAAAAAAAAAAGAAATGCCACATGGTTTATAAAAACACACAGGCTCTGAAGAAAGCCACAGATTCAAATTTCAGCTCTGCCATTAGCTCTGTGACCTTAAGTAAGTTATTGAACTTAAGTTTTAGTTTCTTCAACTATAAAATAGGAAAATTATACCCATACCTCTCAGAGGTGTTGTGAAGAATACATAATAAGATGTGTAAAATGCCAAACATATTGTGTGGCACATGCTATGTGCTCAGCACAACGACAGTAACAAATTCTAAATTACATCAATTTAAATTTTAACAATCCCAAGAATCTTATTTTTGTCAACCTTTATCTTAATACAGCCAAAAAGATTTAACCTTTTCAAGAGTCTTCTAGATGCTTTTCAAAGATATAATTCTTATTTAGGCAATAAAAAATTGTTATTGATAAGCAATCATTTATTATCAATAATTATTGACAATTTATAATGTGCTAGTCATAGGCCCACATCTTACCTGGCAGCTACAAAGGCTCCAATAATCATTGCAAATACAGTCATTTTAATACCCCAAGAAAAAGTCTTCCTACAAAACAAAAAATTTTAAAATACACACATGACTTTATTCCCACACTCATTTTACAACAGAAGCAAAAAATGGGATATGCTTTCTCAAAAGCTATAAACAATCGTATTTTAAACATTTCTGAGAAACTGATATTTAAAAGAACCCCTTTGATAAAGCAAAAATTTATTGTTATATAAGTTATTACACCCACTTTTAAAATTTTCACCTATTGTCATTATTAGTGAGTTTGAATTTTTGTGAAGCAGAATTTCTTTAACAGAAAAATGTCACATTCATTTGGAGCTAGACATGAACACTATTTAAAACCTATACCTATGATTCTGATCCAGCTTCTCCCGGTGGCAGTAGTACAGAAATTCTAGAAAGTAAATCTCACGTTCAGATAAGATTTTCAACTCTAATTCATAACCTTCCCAACTACCACTCCCACAAACTATCAATTCCAGCAGCCAAGAGAGAGGGTTGCTTAAACTTCTCAAAAGGTAAGGTAGGAACAAGACAAATAATTTAATATCTCACATATGCTGGGCACCTTTTCAAGGTGATTTAAAGAACAGATATATTAGAAACTTAGCTCACTTGAGTAAAACTCCTTCAGCAAACATTGTAAACAGGATGGAGAACCTTCTCAGAACTGTAAACATTGGCAAGCTGGAAAAAAAAAAGATAATTAGGTAAAATAGAATTTAACAATTTGTTTTAAACTAAGATTTTCCAAATTGGTAGTTAAAATAATGCTATTCTTCCATTATGGAAATTCCATACAAATTAATTTATGGTTAAACCCCTGCTTCTCTCTAGAAGCAATTCCTACTTGAAAGCCTACAACAGTTGCTTTTAAAAAACTACTAGAAGTGAGAAACATTAAATTAACTACAAAACTTTATTCTAATTATGCAAAACCCTAAGCTGTAAATATGTCAGTTTTTAATAGAAAAAGGCTTCCTTCTCATTTTTTCACTAGTCTGACCTCCCTTCCCACCCCCTAGACCACCCAAAAACCATCTATGAAAATCTTACCCCATGAAATGCCTTGACTGTCCTTTTGTGGATGTAATTTTGTCTTCATCTAAATTCCCAGAGCATTTTGCTTGTACTAATCAAACATACAGCCTCTTGCAATATAGTTATTTCTGAATATATCTTATCTCACTCCAAAGTGCCTTATACTTAGCTGGCAATCAAAGATAGGTGTGAATGAATGGTTGGATGAGATGGATGAAAAAAAGCAAACTCTACACAAGCAGCACTTTGCAGAAGGCCTGCATTTCTTTCCTGGTGGGTAATGAAATGGAAAAAAATGTCCCACCCATGATAAATCTGACTTCCTTGGAACCCTCTTCAGAGATATCATCTCGGTCATTCTGTCAGGTTTCTCGGGTTTTAAAGGAAGAAATGAAAAACACCTTGTCCTTGATGCTCAAAAATCTCTCCATTCTATTTTACAATGCCAGGGTTTTAGCTTGTGTGGTAGTGGTGAAGCCATGGGGTTTCTGTTAAATGTTTTCTCTATTTGTGTCATTTTAATACCACACACAACCGATATGTACACTACAATAAGAGCAGAAGCCAGAAACCGGGAGGTTAGAGGGAAAGACAGTGTTACCATGGAGAGGAGAGCTATTGCTTCTTTCTGAAAATAAGTATGTTGCCTCTACAGTTACATGCCATGTGTAAGATATTAATAATATTTTTATCAGGGTTCTAGCTGATGTTACCTTACTTCACATTAAAAGAAAAACTGCAAAAGTTCTTGTGCCTACCCTCTAATTTTGCTGTGTGGAAGTTGCCTAAAATATTTATGAACTATACTAAAGAACTGAAATCCCAGAAGCCTAGTATATATCTTCACTATTGTGGCTCTAGAAAAATAATAAAAATTTCCTATCATAGCATTTTATAACATTTTAAGACTTCTAACATCAAAATGAGGGGTAAAAAAACAAAAACAAAAAACTCCTCTTTCTCTTCAAAGAAAAGAGCATAAACTATAAACTAAAACCTTTGGCACCACTTTCATTATTTAGTAGTAATAGAAGCTTTCTGGTCCTTTCATTTTTTTCCAGAATCAATAACAATGTGTTAAATATTTGACATTCAAGTACAATTTTAAGAATACATTATATTAACCTCACTAGTAAAATAAAGTTATCCATACTTCAGTTTCTTTGTGCTGAACAGTCCCGTGATTTGGTTCCCAAAATATAGTAGAGGTAGTGGAAACGTCTAGAAAATTTAAAAAGGGATAACAAAACTCAATAATAAAGATAGCTAAAACAAGGTCCTTTCAAACAGAAACAATTTTGTTTATATGATCAAAATTTTTTCCACTTAAAACGTAAAATTAGTTATCATACACAATTTTGACACCCAAACACCCAAACAAAACTTATGCTTGGATAAACAACATTACTATAGCAGAAAGAAAGGGAGGAAGGCAGGGAGAAAAGACAGAAATATGAATATGATCAATGTGAGACAGAAACATCATTTGCTGTAAAATATGATAATGTATTAGAGCCCATGGCTCTATTGTCAGCAGAAAAAGTAAAGGCATTTCATCTTCGTTTGGAGTCAAGCAGAGGCAGACAGTATAAAATAAGCCCAAAGAATAATGAATGCAGGATACACTGGCTAGATTAGATGGATAGAGAAACTGCAAAACTATTGTACTCTCAACAAGTGTGCATTAATTAAAAACAGAAGAATATTCCTAGGTTATTTTTTCTCTTAAGTTTAAAGAGACTGTAGGCCTTCTTTGACACATATTACTACTTTTATTCTTTACATTCATTATAACCACTCTAGACTGGGCAATTTTGAGGCTGCAATTTTTAAATACGCAAGGCACTGATAAAATATGTTAATACATACTGACTTCATTTCACAAAATAAAGTATCGCTTTTCTTCTTTTACCTTTCGAGGTACATTTCTGTCAAGGTCAGGAAACTTGACTACTCTGAGCGCCTTTCCCACCCAGAGAACTGCCACTGTGGCCACCATCTGTAAACAAGAGAACACAGATTCACTGTTCTACACATAAAGACACACACAGAAGTTCTAACAACATAAACCACGTAATGGTGAGGATTCCAACTAACCTGGCCAAGTCCAACACATAGTGAGGAGGGAAATCTACAAAAAGGGCAAAGAAAAAAACAAGATCAGAACAAACCTAACTTAGCTCCGTGAATTCAATTTGCACATCGGCAACGTTAATAAGGCATTCCGATACAAGCCACATCAACGTCCGCCCCTAAATCAAACAAAAATCTTGGGAGAAAACTCTCTGCCTGTTGGTTGTCAGTCCACCCCGCTGATGTAGCCTCGGGCGGCCGCTTGTCCCATCTTGTCCGAGTCTACAGTTTCAGTCCGCTGCCTGCAAAGGATTTCTCAAGGCAGTGCAGATACAGATCTCTGCAACGATTTCACACACCTTAAAAAAAAAAACAACCAACTTCTGCCTCTGGGTCCCAGTGTTAGCAAGGGAATAATTGTCTGCTGGGTTGAGGATGCGTACGTCCCCAGAGGCTGTCAGCGGGTGCAGGGGACACTGAAGCCCCGGCCCCCTGTCCAGGCTGCGGAGGAGGGAGGCTTCCCTCGCTCTCCTCCCTGATCGACAGGCATAACGGCTCAAAAGTCACCAAGCAAATCACTTTGCTCCATCTCTCTGAAGGGCAGGGTTTTCGGGGCGGTGCGCCCAGGGCATGGCAGGCGAGCCCCAAATGTGCCGGGCCGGCCGGAGCTCCGCGCAGGGAGCGGACCCCTGCCACAGGCCCGCTCGCCAGGCCGGCTCCGCTGCCCGGGCCGCGCGCGTCAGCCGCCCGCCCTCCCCAGCTCCCGCCCAACTTTGTTCGGCTTTAACTTTGGCAGTCAAAGTCCAGGGAGCCGGCGCCGCGCCGCCGCCGCCGCCCGCTCCTCCTCCGCGGCCTGGGCCGCCGCCGCCTCGGCCCTACCTGTAATTGGTGAGCACGCTCTTATTCACCACCACGATCAGGAAGGAGCTCACGCCGTAAAAGCCGGCGGCCAGCAGCTTCAGAAACACGGTCAGCGTTTCGGCCGACGCCATCCCCAGCTCCTCCTCATCTCGGAGTGTGGAGGATTTCGCGGGGGCTTCTCCTTTAACCCGAGCATGCTGACGTCTATGAACTTCCGCCATGGCTGCCGCAGCAGCGGTGGCCTGGCGGCGGGGCCTAGCGGCTCGGGGGCCTGCAGCGGCAGCTCCCAGGGGACTCCAGGAGTTGGGGACCGCAGACTAGGCCAGCTGCGCGCTCGCCGCCTCGACTCCCCGCTTGGCCGCCGCCTGTCCCCGCCCAGGGGCAGGGACGCCGGGGTTCACACCCCTGGAGACTTTGCTCGGGCATTGTGCAACGCGGGGTCAGAGAGTAGGGCCGCGCCGGGCTTAGCCTGGGCAGGGGTTGGAGAGAGCCTGGAGAAGGGGCAGTGGCGACCCCCCTGCCCGAGGCGGATAAGGAGAAGCCAGGGGAACTACATCGAGACACCAGAGCGCCGGGCGACAAACCACAGACTCCGGGTGACAGTCGCCCTGCGCCTGCGCACGAGCACGCGCTGGGTCTCTCCGCGGGGCGCGTACCTGGGGCGTGGGGAGTCTGGTGGCAGAGGGGCTGGAAGGCCGTATTCTCCGGATAACTGCCGCAACTAAGTGCAGACCCTCCTCCCCTCTGTTACAGGTGGCCGGCCAAGTAGTTACAGTACACTGCGTCTAGACTAATTCTGAATGCTCTTTTAGTCTCTCTTGCAGGGGGTAAAAACCCTTCAAAAGTATCAGATGTGGATCAACAGTAAACACTCAACGAAAATTTCATTCCGCAATGCCTCAGGCTTCTTACATTTTCTGAACCCAGAAAACACCAAACAATACTTTTCAGATTGAGAAGTTTCGTTTGTTTGTTTTAAGAAAAATGTTGACATATCCCAAAAAGTAGCAAGATAAGCAGCTTGGGGATTGGGGAAAGCACAAGGTGTTTGGAGCCTAAAAGACTTGATTTCCAATTGTAGGATTCCTAGAAATGACGACCCCCCCCCCCCCCACCAACACACTCACTCCTTATTGTGTGTCTTGGACCAATTAGATGACCTCCCTGAACCTGATCTCTGTGGATGTGTAGCTAGCAAAGAGCTAGTTTTCGGTAAATGGTAGTCATTATTGTATAACAGAAGCAAATCATTATGATCGGTTTAAGCAAAGAAATTACGTATTGAACTTTAATAGATTAGGAAAGAAGAACTTTGAATTATTTTTCTAAGTGCTTGGTCTGTATCTTTTTAAATTTCTTTTTTTTTTTTTTCTTATTTTTATATTTTGGTAAACCAGGTATAGTGGTTCACACCTGTAATACCAGCACTTTGGGAGCAGGTGGAATGCCTGAGCCCGGGAGTTTGAGACCATGCTGGGCAACAAAGTGAGACCCTCTCTCTACAAGAAAATAAAAAAATTAGCCAGATGTGGTGGCGCACGCCTGTGGTCCCAGCTACTCAGGAGGCTGAGGTGGGAGGATGGCTTGAGCCCAGGAGGTCAAGGCTGCAATGAGCTATGATCATACTACTGCACTCCAGCCTGGGCAACAGCACAAGACCATCTTAAAGAAAGAAATAAATTGTGGCAAAATATACAAAGTATAAAATTTATCATTTTAACCCTTTTTGAGTATGCAATTGCATGGCATTAACTGCATTCACATCGTTTTGCAGCCATCATCACTAATCCATCTTTAGAACTTTTTCACCATCCCAAAGTGAAACTCTTTCCCCTTTAAACAATCACTCCCTGTTTCCCTACTTCCTTCCCTCTCTGCTGTTAACCAGTGTTCTACTTTCTGTCTCTGTGAATTTGACTACTCTAGGTACCTCATATAAGTGGAATCATGTAGTATTTGTCCTTTCGTGATGAACTTACTTCATTAACGTAATGTCTTCAAGGTTCAGCCACGTTGTAGCATATGTTAGAATGTCCTCCCTTTTTAAGGCTGAATAATATTAAATTATATGTGTATAATTGGTTTATATCTTTTGAGTTACTTTGAGAACACCTATGTTCTTCAAGTGTTTCTTAAAAAACTGGTACACAGGATGAGGTTCTTAACATAGCCTACAAGGTCCTAGATAATGTGGTTCCTACCCACATCTCCAGAGGCACTATTCACGTTTCCCTCCCCTAAGGTGCAGATAAATCAACAATGTGGGTTCCGGCTTCTGTGTCTTTACTCCCATTATTCCCTCCATCTGGGCTGCTTTTTCTCTTCCTCCTCTCACCCAGCTCCTGAAAAACTCTTACATTTCCTTCCGTATTTTGGCAGAACATTACCTCTTCTCTGGGCAGCCTTCACACTGCCCCCCACTTCCCTCTACATAATTGATCTCTCTCCTTTGTGCCTCTCCTACCGCATCTTTATATACCCCCTTTATAGAGTGTCCATCTGCTGCTGCTGCTATAACAAAATACCTGAGACTGGATAACATATAAAAAATAGAAATTTATTTTCTCACACTTCTGGAGGCTGAGAAGTCCAAGATCAAGGTGCCACCTTAACCACTGCATCCTCTGAAGGGGAAGAACACCATGTCCTCACATGGCAGAAGGGACAGAAGGTCAGAAAGGGACAAACACTGTGTGAAACCTCTCTCATAAGGCATGAATCCTACTCACAAAGGCAGAGCCCTCATGACTTAGTCACCTCCTAAAGGGCCTGCCTCTTAATAATATCACATTGGTGATTAAGTTTCAACATATGAATTTTGGAGGACACATACAGACCGTAGCAAAGGGGCTCTGCATTACATGTTTACATATCACTCTCTTCCACTAGACAGTTGCTTCTTGAGGACAGTGGCAGGCAAGGGTGCCTAACACAGTTTAGATATTTTAGTTGATTGAATCAATGGAAACAAGGAAAATGATTAAATTTCTTCCTTGACTGCTAGCTTCAAAAGGAAAAATAACTAAAACATTGTATTTTAAGAAACATCCTTGCAGAAAAAATATTATAGAAGTAACAATGACCCTCATAATAAAAAGCAAATATATACATATATACACATTTTTACACATTTTAAAAAACATACCTGGAATAGAACCAGAGAAGAACACTAATCCTCAAGCCACACACTGCTGCTGACACTTAGTAGTTTTGTGACCTTGGGCAAATTACTAGACATCACTGTGCTTCAATTTCCTCACCTGTAAAATGGGGATAACAATAGTACCCACCTCATAGAGTTACAATGAGAATTAAATGAGTTAATGAATGTAAAGTGCTTAGAACATAATATGAGTGTTTATTACAATTACTGTTATCACTAGTATTATTAGGCAGTCTTCCTCTTTTCACTTACTATTCCTTGATGGTCTTTCTGTGGCAACGCTTAAACTTAACCTCATTCTTTTCAAAGGCTTCAGAGTATTCCATTAGTTGGATGCATCATCATGTAACCCTATAGACATTTAAGTTATTGCCATTTTTCAGTGTACAAACAATGCTTGTCCATTCAACTTTGTGCAAGTATAAATTTCTAGAAGTAGAATTGCTTAGTTAAGGCTACTTTTTAATAAAAAAATTAATAGAATTGAGGAAATTCCAAATTAACAACCTCCAAAGAGTTTATACTCATTTTTTATTCCTGCTAACACGGTATGAAAATGAAACCCTCTTTTATAAAGTCAAGAGGGCAGCAATGGAGAACAATGGAAGAGGTGAGATAATATTTCAAGTTCTACCCTGTGGAAGTATGAAATGCCAGGTACAAATTTTCAAAATCATAAGTTATGATTACAGAAAATAAAAATAAGAGTGCTGATCCAGGCAACTACTGTTTTTCTCAGCATGATTACTTTATTAATTAACAAATATTTAAGACCTATCACAGGCCATGAACTGCATTGGATTTTCTCAGCTCCAGTAATGATTTGGTTGCTGTGGACCCCCAGTAAAATGCTATAGAGTTTAATGGAGTCAAGCATTCTCATTAGGTACCCACAAAGATAAGATAGGTGCCATCTCTAGTAGGATTTTTATCTCTTTCCCATGTTATAGGTACTTAGACTTTGGGGTAAATTTTGGTATTTTAGGTCCTCAGATCTGTTTCCTCACTTCAGTAATATTAATCACAGAATTATATATGGAGTATTTACACATCATTGGGTGAAACTGAATAAATATTGAAATATATCTTAAAAAGTTGTTCAAGATAAGAAAGACTGAATTAAATGTTCTCACTTAGGTACAAGTGTACTCTATTTGGAAAGGTCAACTTTGTGGGTTGATAAATTTTACATCTTACTGGGTAGAATTACTAGCAAAAACTCTTCTTAGTATTAAATGATGTCTTTTTATCAAAACATTGCCGTTAGGTATCCTGTTTTTCATTGAGGGAATATTGATTCTGTACACAGTTTTTTAAAACATAGCTTATATTACTTCTTTTCTCCACGCTTCTCCCTTTTCCTTGGCCCACTTGCTCCTCTCATAGTGGAATGTATATAGGCCTCTTTTGTTATCCACCTGCATTCACCAGTTTCCTATTTCACTGCCAACCTAGATCATACCCAGTGACCTGCTGTGCTGCACAGCTGGTTACTTTATAGTCAAGGAGCAAAGGTCATACATGTTTCCTATTTGAACAATACTTTAAAAATTCTGAGAATCAGCATGGAGCTTCTCTTCTCTGCAGTGCCTTGTACTTTTCTACATTGGACTGCAAAGAATGAACTTATTGTCCACTGATGATGAGCCTCACAATGTGCTTCTCTTGTAATTCATTATCTCATTTCACCCTAACCACTGTGAGAAGCAGGTATGGTGAAACAACATATAAACAGGAAAACAAGGGCTGAGAGGGAGTATTAGACATACACTGCATCCCACAGCTCTAAGTGACTGTGTACAGATTCGGTCCTAGGTCTGTTTAGCATTTATTCTGTGTTCCTCCACTGGACACTCCTGCCTCCTTTGGGGCAGATGGACAAGACCTACTTTTACAAGACGTTCTGGCAATGTCAATGCTTTCTTCAATGACCAAGTTTAGTGTTTATCAACCCTATGAAGAAGGATAAGCAGGATAAAGGAACAGTAATGTGTTGAAGTCATAGTCAATCATGACTCATTCACAAATAGCATACCAGACACCAAGTTAGGCACTGGAAATACGAAGACATTTCAAGCTCAATGTATTTACAACTGAACTTTATATAAATCTCTCCCAAATAAGTTGCTTCTTTGAATCTCCAATTTTAGTGAATTGACCTCACTATCCACCTATTTACTGTGGTTCTGCTCTCTGTATAATCACCCTGCAAGCACTCTTTAACCCCCACCAAACTAGTTTTACCCCCTCCAATACACTGAAGCTGTTCACTGCAAAGTTACCCATGACCTCCATGGGACTACACCCAATGAGCACTCTTAGTCCTCCTGCTTGACCACTCTACAGCATTTACATTGCTGATATTCTCCCTTCTTTTAGCTACACCCTCTTCCCTTGACTTCTGAAGCCCCATACTCTCTGAAACCTCTCCTCGTACTCTGGCTGCTCCTTCTCATCCTGCTTTGCTGGTTCCTCCTCTTCTCACAGACCTTTAAAGTTTTACATTCCTCAGGGCTCAGTCTTGGGTCTTCTCTATTCTATGTATTCTTACTAAATCTCATTCCATTCCATGGTTTCAGTTATGACTTATTGTTTGCCAGTGCTTACCAAATCTACATTACTTATGTTCTCTCTAACTCCAGATTAATGTGTCTGACTGCCTCCTGAATATCTTCACTTGGATAACTCTCTGTTATGCTGCTCAACATGCCTGAAACTAATCTTGTCATTATCCCTTTTACTCCAACATTCTGCTTCTCTATTGTTCTTCACTGTATCAGGTAATGAATCCTGACAGTTGAGATCCTAGTTGTCTTATTTTGCCATCCAAAATGCTTACTACTTTGCATTTATCAGATCTGAACAACATAATTTAATCAATGTGTTGAACCAGTTTATTTTGTATGAGAATATTAAGATGATCAAGATCTCTGTGAACTATATTATGGCAAAGAGTAAAAGATTGGATGTCAATCCAATGATGCTATACTGCTGGCCCTGACATGTAAGAGGTAAACTGTTTTAGTTGGACCCTATAAATTAATATAGAGACAAAACATTTGCCATGTTAATAGCTACACACTAGGTGTCAGGAAATGTCATGGTGATTTGCCCTAGTAACACTACGTCTGGAGCATCAACTAACATTGGAGTCACCTCCTGATTAAGTTTATAACCACACTCAGTTATTTGCTAAGATTTCTCTTCTGCATTGGACAAACAGGTGACTTAAATGGAGATGTGATAGGATTCATCCATCTTTCAAGTCTTTGATGATGGCACTAATCTCTGCAACTCCTCTAAAGATGTGGCATATCTTTTTTTGTACTGTCCTGAAAGGGAAGGAAAGCTCCAGAGGCTTCCTCTTTCTACTATCGTGGTCCTTATTCCATGGGTCACACAGACACTGTGAGGATTTTACCAGCTGCCTAGCATATCTATTATGCCTAAACATATGTCTCTTCCAATTATACATTCAAGAGCTGGAGACAAAAACACACAGTGGATTTGTGGACCTACTGAGCACATCGTGTTTCAAAGTTGGGCTAGGTCTCCAATTATCACCTGACTCACTTCTATAGTCTAAATGTGTGTGTCCCCCAACAAATTCATGTATTGAAATTGTCATGTGAAAATAGAGATGAATCTCTAAGTAAAAAGGTTTTGTTTGGGAATAGTATACAAGACGTAGGATTGTAATTTGGGACATATATACAAACCAGGATGGCCTCCAGTATATATGGAGAACAGAGTAAAAGGTTAGGATTTTATTGGAGAAAGAGGAGATTTATGCAAGTTGTTTTAAAAGAAAGTTTTTTGGTGCTGGCAGCATCTTACAAGAGCTGAAGAGTTTTGATATGTGAATGTCAGTGGTCCTTAGGAAGGACTTGTAATCTTGGAGTTTCAGTTAGGCCTTTACATTTAGAATTGGGTTTGTGAGTCAGTGTGTCAGGCATGTGTTCTTGTGTAAGCGGCTAGCTGTCCTTGTGCTGCCAGCTGTCTTTGTGTGACTCACGTAGTAAACTGTGGTTTGGAAAAATGTCCTGTGATAGTTTGTGTTATCAGGCAAACTGTGTGTGAGAGCCCTACCAGCATAGCCTTCTCTAGCTCCATTTTGCTAGGGTTTGACACAAGTGACTACATTTTGAATCTGACAATGTTCACAAAATCCTAACCTCTAAGGTGATAGTTTTAGGAGGTGAGGTCTTTAGGAGGTGATTAGGTCAGGAGGGTGAAGACTTCATGAAAAGAATTGGTACCCTTACAAAAGAGCCCTGAGAGAGACCCTTTACCCCTTCCAACATGTGAGGACACAGCTGGAAGATACCACCTATGAACCAGAAATCAGGCACTCACCAGACACCAAATCAGCCTGCATCTTGATCTTGGATTTCCCAGCCTTCAACTGGGAGAAATGAATTTCTGTTGTTTATAAGCTACCCAGTAATATTTCATTAAAACAGCTTGAACTGACTAAGACGCTACATAAGCCCCCAGTTTAACTGGTAGACTGCAGGACTGTAAGTGCCCAGGAATTAGTATCGGTTGGCCAGTGTTTGATAATCCCACAAAAGGTCTGGGTATTTCCTTTTTGTTACTACACAGTCACCCTAGTAAATGGCAGCAGTTTCCTTTGAGGAAGACTTGAAAGAAGATATACAGTATACACTTGTGGCTATGATATAGGGCCTTCCTCAAAGAGACCTGATCTCTCCTTCAATCCAAGAGATTCTCGTATTGTACATGGCTTAGGTCTGGAAACTGAATAAAAGACCGTGACTGTCCATTTCTGAGACTCCAGTCAGTTTTCTTTGCTGTCAGGTCTGGTTTTTACTGTTATAGAGATTAAGGACCATTTTACTAGGTTGTCTAACTATTTCATTCTTAGGGACATTATAATCAATAGGATACTGCCCAAAATTCCTATGGCTTAAAACTATGATTACCACTATGTTACTGCTTTCCTTTTATAATAAATATGCCCCCTACCTTGTCTTCTGTGGTTAAGTACTACTGCTTGCCTCTGATACTCCAGAACTTCCAACATCTCTATTAAATTGCGGAGCCCATCTCAATACTGAAAATTCCCATTATACCTAGCTTACAGAGCACAGCCACAACAGAACTTCTCAAGGATGTACATGGTCTATACACAAGTGTGTTTCTCCACATGTCAGTTATGGGATTTCCTCTGGATTCTCTCAAGGATGTTGAGGGATGGGTGTGTAGATTACATGTGATAAATATGCTCCACCATTCCTGTTTCCCTAAGCACTGGAATCTTTTCCTCAACATTATAATATGGAAAGTTCTGGTATCTCAACCTCATTAAATAGACCCTGCTGTTGTGCCCAACTGTCAGTAAACAAACATATTAAATTGTTGGAATGCTTCCACCTGCATGAGCCAACACATTAAATCCAGAACCTCAGGTAAGTACACCCTTATCAATACGTTTGGCCGAATCCAGTGTTATATTTCATCTTCCTTAAGCTCCATTCCTATACATATTCCCTAGGTTGATGGTGATATAAATTAGAAAAATCTTGCAATTCTTTTGGTTTACCACCTGCTTCCTCCTAAGTTAAACTTCATGCTGGCTCTTTGGGGTGTGTTGATATCTGACCTAGTTATGGGTATAGTGGATAGAGTTTTCAAGCAAGAGAAGGCTAATCTGTCAGACACAGGAGGCTCCCACTGTCAGAAGAGGCTCAAAATGACTTGACAATTCAAAATTCTTAACCCCATTTAAGCCCAAACAAATGTGTACTCATTCCAAGTTTTAGGGTCATTTTCTTTCCATTTTTTTTAACTTCTACATGAGAGACCTAGCAAGGTTGTAAATTCAACTGATGTTGTAAAAATTGTAAACTGGCCTATTAAGCCTTTTTTTATTTTTAACAATATCAGCCCTGTGGCTGCAAGAAAAGAGAGATTCTTTTAGGACTGCCATAGAATCATTTTGGCACTCTAATGAGACTTTATGAAGAATGTAAAGACCTGAGTTTGTTATTCTTTCTGTATGTGTTTTATTAAACTCAAGAATCTATCCCACACCACAGTCCTCACAGTCATTACTACTGCTAACAGTTAGATGTAGCAGGCCCATGCTCCTAAGGCACTTGGTTCAGTAGGAATATCATCACAATTAACTGCAGGTGACAATTTAATGAATCATGATACTTCTGCATGACATGGGTTACCAGAATTTATTTCACATTAGTGGGGAGCTCAGCACTTCATTCAAGCTCAAGGACAGAACCAAACAAATCCCAAATCCCAACTTCTAAAGTCTATTCTAGAACCAATTTCTATATCAATCAAGGTCCAGTCAAGAGACAGAAACCACACGTTATTTGATTAGAGATAATTTTACATTAAAAAATGTTAACTAGGTAAATGAAAGTTTAAAAAGAAACACTTCAAAAGCCCCCCAAACCATAAGGTATCGTGGAGGTAGCAACTGCAGGAAGGGCTGAGGGAACAAAGGAAAGAGGCTAGAATTATCAAAACTTAGAAACTTAGAAGGGGAACTCCAATAGCTAAAACTCAAGATTTCTGAGGAAGAAATGCTGCTCAAGTGATTCTAGGGTCTTTGGGTTCAAAAGAGGATCCCCATAAGCCTGAAATTCAGACCTTTGAAGAGAGAGCACTATCTGGTTAGTGCTGTGGGCTTAGTGTCACGTGGGGTGGGAGGGGAGTAGGGGCGGGAAGGGTAGGAGGGGGAGTGGAACGGGAACACAGTGTTGTGATATAGGCTGTTCTCTAAATTTAGGGAAAACTGCAAACTGAATTCAACTACTGCTAAGGGAAGAACTTGCTACTTCTGGGACGAAGAATCATTGCTAGACTGAGGCTACTAGGAAGCACATGGGAAAAAGCATTTCTTTTCTCCTCCTCCAGCTACCCAGTATCCCTCTAGTGCCACGTATGGAAGAGTTTACGTAGAGCCAGCCAGCAAAGCAGAAATGTGTTTTGCAAAATACAAGCATCAGCTTCACAAAGTAGAATATAGAAGAGTAGGTTTCCAGCTGAGAGACAATTAATATGTGGCACACCCATTTTAGTAAACATATCGCCATATGCCAAGTTGCCACCTTAGAAGTCTAGTAGTCATTCTCAGAACCTGTCTCTTCTAACTTGCCATATATAAGCTGCTAAATATCTCTCAAGTCTGAATCCACTACCATAGCCATCATTATCAAGATGTCTGCAATGACATCCTAACTAGTCTTCAGGATAGATGACTCTTCCTCTCCAATTCATTCTGTAAAAATGCAGATCTGGGCCAGGCACGTGGCTCGCACCTGTAATCCTAGCACTTTGGGAGGCCAAGGCTGGCAGATCACAAGTTCGGCAGTTTGAGACCAGCCTGGCCAACATGCTGAAACCCCATCTATACTAAAGATACTAAAATTAGCTGGGCATGGTGGCGGATGCTTGTAATCCCAGCTACTTTGGAGGCTGAGGTAGGAGAATCACTTGAACTCCAGAGGTGGAGGTTGCAGTGAGCCAAGATCACACCACTGCACTCCAGGCTAAGCAACAGGGTGAGACTCCATCTCAAAAAAAAGAAAAATGCAGATCTGGTTATTAGAATAAAATCTATCTCCTGCTTTATTTCACAATACTCTCAATTTTGCTCTCCCTTCTCTATTTATGCTTGTTGTTCTTTTACTTTGTCAAACACATCTTCTCATTCTTGGACCTTTGCATCTGTTCATCACTTGGCTTATGGACTAACCTCCCATTCCTACAAACTCCAACTTCCTCCTCTGGCTAACTCCTTTAAGTCTCAAGTAAAGTACATAATCTTCAGTGAGGTCTTCCTGAGCCCCAGATATCATTCCTACATGCTCCTTTAGAGGCATAATAACTGGAGTTACTAATTAAAATATTATTTTCCTCCCCTCTGCCTATTGCCTTACCCTCACCATTCACATTCAAGCCATAATGCATAGGCTGCTGTTTATCCCGGATGGTTGCTATTAGAATGTACTAAGATGTATGATGCAGGTTCTTAGATTCTGTACTTAAAATTTAATAAATATTTAATAAATATTTTAGAATCTTTTTTCCCCTGCCTATTCATTCTAAACTAGATAAACAATTTGGAAACCTCTACTCTCACAGTCTTCGCCAACTTAGTTGATGGACATGCTATCCTTCTAGTTGCTTGGAACAAAAACCTTTAATTCCTCTCTTTCTCTCACAGCCCACATCTAACCCTCAGCAACTCACATCAGTGCTATCTTTAAAATAGATCTATATTCCAACATTTATTACTTCCTGTACTCATGCCTTAGTCCAAGCCACCATCTGCTCTTGCTGAAATATTGTAATTGTCTCATCATTAGTTCCCTGCTTCCATCTTGGACTCATATTTTCCCATCAATCCTTTCTGCACACAGCACTCAATGATCTTTTAAAAGATAAGTCAGATATCACTCCTCTGCTCAAAAACATTCAATCACTTCTGTTCTTTCTCTGAATAAAATTCAATGCCTTACAGTGGCTGTAAGACCTTATATAATCTGGCCTCTTGTTACTTTTGTGATAAGATCCTCTACTCCTCTTCACACCACTTCACTCCACTCCACTGGCTGGTGCTGTTCACTAATGAGGGTGGTAAGGGAGGTGGCAGGGGTGGTGTGGTAATGAGGCTAATTCTGCAAATTCAAGAAGAACTACAAACTCCATTCAGCTACTGCTATGGGAAGACTTTGCTGCTGCTGGGGTGAAGAAATAATTGTTGGAGTAATGCTACCAGGAATCAAACAAGAATTTCCCACCTCCTCCTCTAGCCTCCTTACTGTTCTTAGACTACTTCAACCACACTTTACTTCAGGGCCTTTGCATTTATTATTATACTGCCTGCCTGAAACACTATTTGCACTTATTATTATACTGCCTGCCTGAAACACTCTTTCTACAGATGGTTCACTTCCTCACTTAATTCAGGTCTTAACTCAAATGTCTCCTTATCGAAGTGGTCTTCTCAAAACTGGAAAAAGAAATGAATGAACTAAATAAATGAAGAGCTATACTATTCATTGATAGAAATGCTCAATATTGTTAGGATATTAATTCTCTCCAAATGTATCTACAGTTTTAAGGTAATTCCTATCAAAATTCCAGCAAGATTTTTTATAGATAATGACAAGATTATTCTAAAATGTATATGAAAAGACAAAGAAAATAGAATGATCAAAAAATTATAAATAAGAAGAAAAAACTTGTAGAACCCACACTACCCAATTTCGTGAGTCACTATAAAGCTACAGTAATTAAGACTGTGGTACTAGCATAAGGATATTCATATAGATAAGTGGGGTGGAATAGAGAACCCAGAAATAAATACACAAATATGGTTGCCTAATTTTTGACAAAGGCACACAATTTCAATGGAAAAAGAATAGTCATTTACATAAATAGTGATGGAATAGTTGGATGTTCATATGCCAGAAAGGAACCTCAGCATATACTTCACAGCTTATATAAAAATTAACTAAAAATAGATCATAGGTCTCAATGTAAAACCTAAAACCATAAAACTTCTAGAAGAAAACAGGAGAAAATCTCTATGAATTTGATGATGAATTTTGTGTTTTTTCATTAAAAAACATGCTGATATGATTTGGCTGTGTCCCCACCCAAATCTCCTCTTGAACTATGGTTCCCAGAAGCCCTACATGTTGTGGGAGAGACCCAGTGGGAAGTAATGGAATCATGGGGGTGGCTACTTCCATGCTGCTCCCATGATAGTGAGTGAGTTCTCACAAGATCTGATGTATAAGGGGCCTTTCCCCCTTTTGTTTGGCACTTCTCCTTGCTGCTGCCATGTGAAGAAGGATGTGTTTGCTTCCCCATTTGCTTCTGCCATGATTGTAAGGTTCCTGAGGCTTACCCAGCCTCTGTGGAACTGTGAGTCAATTAAACCTCTTTCCTTTATAAATTATGCAGTCTTGGGTATGTCTTTATTAGCATGTGAGAACAGACTAGTACAGTAAATTGGTACCACAGAGAGTGGAGCACTGCTGTAAAAATATCCAAAAATGTTGAAGTGACTTTGAAACTGGGTAACAAACAGAGGTTGGAACAGTTTGGTGGGCTCAGAAGAAGACAGGAGAATGTCAGAAAGTTTGGAACTTCCTAGAGACTTGTTGAATGGCTTTGACCAAAATGCTGATAGTGATATGGACAATGGTCCAGGCTGAGGTGGTCTCAGATGGAGGTGGGGAACTTGTTGGGAACTGTAGTAAAGGTCATTCTTGCTATGCAAAGAGACTGACAGCATTTTGCCCCTGCCCCAGAGATCTGTGGAACTTTGAACTTGAGAGAGGTGATTTAGGGTATCTGGGGAAAGAAATTTCTAAGCAACAAAGCATTCAAGAGGAAGCAGAGAATAAAAGTTTGGAAAATTTGCAGCCTGCCAATGCTATAGAAAAGAAAACCCCATTTTCTGGGGAGAAATTCAAGCTGGCTGCAGAAATTTGCATAAGTAACGAGGAGTCAAATGTTAATCACCAAGACAATGGGGAAGACGTCTCCAGGATATATCAGAGACATTCATAGCAGTGACCCCAGCCCCCACCATCACAGGCCCAGAGCCTAGGAGGGAAAAATGGTTTCATGGGCTGGGCCCAGGGCATCCCTACTGTGTACAGCCTTGGGATATGGTGCCCTGCATCCCAAATGCTTCCGCACCAGCCTTGGCTAAAAGAGGTCAATGTACAACTCAGGCCATTGCTTCAGAGGGTGCAAGCCCCAAGCTTTGGCAGCTTACACATGGTGTTGGGCCTGTGGGTGTGCAGAAGTCAAGAATTGAGGTTTGGGAACCTCTGCCTAAATTTCAGAGGAGGTATGGAAAGGCCTGGATGTCCAGGCAGAAGTCTGCTGCACAGGGGAGCCCTCATAGAGAACGTCTGCTTAGGGCAGTGCACAAGGGAAAGGTGGGGTTGGAGCCCTCACAGAGAGTACCCACGAGGGCACTGCCTAGTGGAGCTGTGTGAAGAGGGCCACTGTCTCCAGACCCCAGAATGGTAGATCCACTGACAGCTTGCACTGGACACCTGGAAAAGCCACAGGCACTCCATTGCAGCCTGTGAAAGCAGCCAGGAGGGGGACTATAACCTGCAAAGCCACAAGAGTAGAGGTGCCCAAGGCCATGGGAGCCCACCTCTTGCATCAGCGTGACCTGGATGTGAAACATGGAGTCAAAGGAGATCATTTTGGAACTTTAAGGTTTAATGACTACCCTATTGGATTTCAGACTTGAATAAGACCTGTGGCCCCTTTGTTTTGGCCAATTTTTCCTGTTTGGAATGGGTATACTTATCCAATGCCTGTATCGCCCATTGTATCTAGAAGTAACTAACTTGCTTTTGATTTTACAGGCTCACGGGTGGAAGGGGCTTGCCTTGGACTTGGACTTTTGAGTTAATGCTGGAATGAGTTAAGACTTTGGGGAACTGTTGGAAGGTCATGACTGTGTTTTGAATTGTGAGGACATAAGATTTGGGAGGAGCCAGGGTGGAATGATATGGTTTGGCTGTGTCCCCACCCAAATCTCATCTTAAACTGTAGTTCCCATAATCCCCATGTGTCATGGGAGGGACCTGGTGGGAGGCAATGGAATCATAGGAGTGGTTACCTCCATACTGCTTTCATGATAGTGAGTTGTCATGAAATTCTGATGGTTTTATAAGGGGCTGCTTTTTTTTTTTTTTTTTTTTTTTTTTTTTTTTTTTTTTTTTGAGATGGAGTCTCACTCTGTTTCCCAGGCTGGAGTGCAGTGGCATGATCTCAGCTCACTGCAATCTCTGCCTTCTGGGTTCACACCATTCTCCTGCCTCAGCCTCCCGAGTAGCTGGGACTACAGGTGCCCACCACCATGCCCTGCTAATTTTTTATATTTTTAGTAGAGACGGGGTTTCACCATGTTAGCCAGGATGGTCTCGATCTCCTGACCTCATGATCTGCCCACCTCGACCTCCCAAAGTGCTGGGATTACAGGCATGAGCCACCACACCTGGCCTATTTTTCCTTTTAATTGGCCCTTCTACTTGCTGCTGCCATGTGAAGAAGGATGTGTTTGCTTCCCTTTCCGCCATGAATGTAAGTTTCCTGAGGCTTCCCCAGCCCTGCAGAACTGTGAGTCAATTAAATCTCTTTCCTTTATAAATTACCCAGTCTTGGGTATGTCTTTATGAGCAGCATGAGAATGGACTAATACAACCATTATACTTTATGCTTCTAAAAGTTTGACATTTTTAGATACCTCATATTAGTGGAATCATGCAATGACTGTTCTTCTGTGACTGACTTATTTCACTTAACGTAATATCCTCAAGTTTCATCCAAGGTGTAGCATATGACATGATTTCCTTCTTTTTAAAGACTGAATAATATTCCATTGTAAATATATACCACGTTCTCTTAATTCATTCATCCACTGATGGACATGCAGATTGTTTCTACCTCTTGACTATTGTAAAATGCTGCCAATGAACATTGAGGTGCAAATGTCTTTTCAAGTTCTTATGTTTAATTCTTTTGGATATATACCTAACAGTAAAATTATGAGATCATATGGTAGCTCTATTTTTTAATTTTTTGAGGAACTTTTATGCCGTTTTCTATAGTGGCTGCACCATTTTATATTACCACAAACAGTGCACAAGAATACCAAAGTTTCCACATCCTTGCCAACATTTGTTATTTTCTTTTTTTTTTTTTTTTTGAGACAGAATCTCACTCTGTCACCCAGGCTGGAGTGCAGTGGTACGATCTTGGCTCACTACAATCTCCGCTTGTCAGGTTCAAGTGATTCTCCTGCCTCATCCTCCCGAGTAGCTAGGACTACAGGTGTGTGCCACCACGCCTGGCTAAGTTTTTGTATTTTTAGAAGAGATGGGGTCTTACCGTGTTAGCCAGGATAGTCTCGATCTCCTGACCTCATGATCCACCTGCCTCAGCCTCCCAAAGTGCTGGGATTACAAGGCGTGAGCCACCATGCCTGGCCTATTTTCTATTTTGTTGCTAATGGCCATCCTAACAGGTGGAATCAATTTGCATTTCCCTGATGATTTGTGAGATTGAGCAGCTTTTTATATACCTGTTGGCAATTTGTATGTCTTCTACGGAGGAATGTCTATTCAAGTCCTTTGCCCATTTATAAAATTGGGTTATCTAGGATTTGTGTTTGTTTTTGCTATTGAGTCTTAGAAGTTCCTTTTTTTTAATATTAACCCCATCAGATATATGAATTGCAAATATTTCTTCCCATTCTGTATTTTGTCTTTCCATTGTGTTGATTATTCTATTTGCTACACAGAAGTTTTTAAAGTCCTATTGGTCTAGTTGTGCTTTTGTTGCCTGTATTTTTGGTGTCAGATCCAAGAAATTATTGCCAAGACCAATGTCATGGAGATTTTCCCCTATGCTTCTTTTAGTGTTGTTCGAGTACTGTTTCCTTATTGGTCTTCTATATGGATGTTCTATCCACTAAATTTAAAGTGGATAATCAAATTATCCTACTATGATTGTGTTGCTGTCTATTTCTCTCTTCAATTCTGTCAGTGTTTGAGTCTGATATTTGGGTGCTCTGATCTTTGGCACATATGTATTTATCATTGTATATATCTTGATGAATTGGCAATTGTATCATTATATAACGTCCTTTGTCTCCTGTGACTTTTTAAACGTAGTGTCTCTTTTTTTCTGATATAAGTATGACTCTCTCTGCTCTTTTTTGTTACCTTTTGCATGAAATATCTTTTTCCATCTTTGTTACTTTCAGCCTATGTGTGTCCTTAACTCTAACGTGAGTTTCCTGTAGACAGCATATAGTTGACTTGTTTTTTAAATCCATTCAGTGCTACTCTGTTTTTTGATTGGGAAGTTTAATCCATTTACATTAAAAGTAATTACTGGCCAGGTGCTCTTCCTAGCACTTTGGAAGGTGGAGGCGGGTGTATCACCTGAGGTCAGGAGTTTGAAACCAGCCTTGCCAACGTGGTGAAACCCTGTCTCTACTAAAAATACAAAAATTTTTGGCATGGTGGCGGACACCTGTAATCCCAGCTACTTGGGATGTGAGGCAGGAGAATGACTTGAACCTGAGAGGCGGAGATTGCAGTGCACCGTGATCGTGCCATTGCACTCTAGTACGGGCAACAGGAGCAAAACTCTATCCCCCCTCCCCCCGCAAAAAAGTAATTACTGACATGGAAGAACTTATTATTGCCATTTTGTTAATTGTATTCTGTCTGTCCTATAACTTTTTTGTCCCTCTTTTCCTCTCTTGTTGTCTTCCTTTGTGTTTCAGTGATTTTTTAGTGACATATTGTGACTCTTTTCTCATTTTCTTTTGTGTATTTTCTATAGGTATTTTCTTTGTGGCTACCATGGAGCTTACATAAAAAATCTTATAACAATGTATCTTAAGTTGCTAACAGTTAAACTTCAATTGCATACAAAATCTCTACTCTTTTAATCCCCTCACACACTTTATGTTATTAATGTCACAAATTACGTATTTTTATAATATGTAACATTAGCATATTTTATAGTCACAGTTATTTTTATACTTTTGTCTTGTAACTTCTATACCAAAATTAAAAGTATGTTATGCACTACCATTTCAGTATTACAGTATTCTATATTTGTAAGTGAGTTTTCTACTTTCATATATTTTCATATTGCTGTTTAGCATTCTTCTTTTCAACTTAAAGAATTCCCTTTAGCACTTTTTGTAAAGCGATTAATTCCTTCAGCTTCTGTTTACCCAGGAAAGTTTCTATTTCTTCTTTTTTTTGTAGTTTGTTTTAATTAGAAATGGGTTTCACTATGTCACCGAGGCTGAAATGCAGTGGCTCTGCGGTGGCTATTCATAGGTGATATCATAGTGCAGTATGCAGCCTCAAACTCTTGGGCTCAAATGATTCTCCCAACTCAGCCTCCTGAATGTCTGAGGCTACAGGTGCACAACACTGTCCCCAGCTCTGTTAATTTCTGAAGGATAGTTTTGTCAGTTACACTGTTCTTGGCTGACAATTTTTTTTTCTTTCAGCGCTTTGAACATTCATCCCCCCTCCTTCTGGCTTGCAATGTTTCTGCTGAGAAATTCGCTCATAGCCTAATAAATGATGAGTACCTTTTCTCCTGCTGTCTTCAAAATTCTTTTTTTTTTTTTTTTGCCGTTTGACATTTGATTATAATATATTTTGGTATTGATAAAAGAAAAACTTCATCCAAATTACATTTAAAGGAGTTTAATTTAGCAATGAATGATTCACACATTGAGCAGCCCCCAGAATCACAGCAGATTCACAGAGACTTCAGTGCAGCCACATGGTGGAAGAAGATTTATAGACAAAAAAAAAAAAAGGAAATGATATATAGAAATCAGCAGTGAGGTACAGAAACAGCTGGATTGGTTACAGGTTGGTGTTTGCCTTATTTGAACACAGTTTGAACAATTAACAGTTTATGACTGGTTAAAGTATGGCCGCTGGGATTGGCCAAGACTCAGTTATTGTTACAGGCACATACTCCTAAGTTAGGTTTTAAATCTTGTCTAACTATTAAGCTATGTTATGGTTCATCCACAAGGATTCACATATAGAAGTATGGAGTCCTTCTCAGGCCATATTTAGTTTGCTTTAACAGTGTACACTTCTTTGGAATCATCTGGTTGGAGTGTGTTGTGCTTGCTGAATCTGGATGTTCATTTCATTTTCCAGATTTGTGAAATTTTTGGCCTTTGTTTCTGCAAACAAACTTTCTGCCTCTCTCTCTCTCTCTCTCTCCTCTTCTCCCATATGCATGAGTTGGCCCACTTGCTATTGTCACATTAGTCCCTTAGATTTTCTTAACCCATCCTACTTTGTTGTTGTTGTTGTTGCTCTGGATGGAAAATTTCAAATGACTTGTCTTTGTCTTTGCTGATCCTTTCTTCTGCTTGATTAAGTTGACAGTTGAATCTCTCTAGTGAATTGTTCAATTCAGTTATTGTATTCATCAGCTCCAAAAGTCCTGTTTGGTTCCTTTCAATATTTTCTATCTCTGTTGATATTTTCATTTTGTTGATGAATCATTTTCCTGAGCTTGTTGAACACTTTTACGACAGTTATTTTGAGTTTTTTAGGTAATTACACTCTTTAGGGTTAATTTAGGAGATACTTTGGTCCTTTAATTGGACCATGTTTCCCCGTTTCTTTATGTGTTATAACTTTGTGCTGACATTTATACACTGAAAAAACAACCACCACCCCTTCCAGTCTTTATGGACTATCTTCATACAGAGAAAGACCTTCATCAAGCAGCCCAGCTAAAGACTGTGAGGGTTTCTCAAACCTTTTCTGTGGATTCATTTTCCCTGGAGTCGTGCATATAAATTCCCAAATAGAAGGATTTACTGGTTTCTTTTTTTCAGGAGCCCTAATCTCTTGCTCTCTTTGGTGTCTGTCTGTAGTGCTGTTGGTTCTCTAGAGCTTATCCAAGCCACTCAGCTCTTGGTTTTTCTCAGTGCCCCCTAGGCTTCTAGAGTATGTTGAATCCTATGAGCAATTCAAGTCAGGTAAGGCAGAAACCAGTTCTTTGGGCAGCTCCCTGAAAAGCCAGAGCATTGGATGTATAATCCACTGTTTCCTTCTGTCTTTAAAGGAGAGGTTGCTGAGCTGTATGACTTTTGTCTGCTGTTGCACAAATCCTCTGGAGCAGCAACAAACTGTCTAGCTATCTTTTGTTGTCAGTGGCCCTGACAACGAAGTATCTATAACATACTACATTTTGGGCATGCTCTGAGGCAGGAGAGACAGAAATCAGTCCCCTGAAAAGCCAGAACATTGGATACATGTTCCAAGTCTTTCCCTTCCCAGGAAGAAGCTAGGAGTTGAGGGTTTTCTTCCACTTGTTCTGCACTGAGCCAACAGGAGGAATTATGATGAATAAGTGCATGCTACTTCACACTGTCACCTTTAGTGGTCCCCATCCTCACAGACTTTCCTGTTAGCACCTAGATTTAGGCAAGACAGAAACCAGTCCCTTGAGCAACCTCCCCCAAAAATCAAATGTTTAATGTATGCTTCAATCTTCACCTTCTCTCTACAGGGAGAAGGCAGAAGCTAGGAATTTTATCCTGATCCTACCACACTGATTCAGGGAGAGGACTATGGTCAGTGAGTGGCACAAATTTTCACATTGGCTTTGACGCAGCTGGTTTCATGCTCTTCAGGAGTGCAGGGGCATCTTAAAGGGTTTCTCGATTTCTCATAAAGGAAATTGGTCCATGCATTGTTGCTGCAAGTTGGTGTCTTTGTCAGGCCAAGGAAGCTCTCTGCCTTCCTATTGTGCCATATTGCTGATACCAGCCTCTTGTGATGAGTTTTAAGATACAACACAAAAATCACATTCCGTAAAATTAAAAAACAGATAAGTTGGACTTTATCAAAATTAAAAACTTTTGTTTTGCCAAAGACAATGCTAAGAGAATGATAAGACATGCCACAGACAAAGGGAAAATACTTGTAAATTACATATTGTATAAGAGTTCTATCCAGAATGTAGGAGCTCTTACAACTCACTAATAAGAAACAAATAAGCAATTAAATATGGGAAACATCTGAACAGACACTTTGCCAAAGAAGATATATAGTTAGCAAATAGATATGTGAAAAGATGCTTGACATCATTTTTCTTTAGGAAAATGTAAATTAAAACCACAATGAAATACCACTACACACCTATTACAATATGTGTTCACAAATACTTGATATTTCTTCCTTCAGGAGGTAGAGCTTATTTCTCCTACCCTTGAATGTATGCTGACTTTTAGTGACTCTAGCAAATATTCTGACAAATAAGAGTGAGGAAAAGGAAAAATAATAGCTTTACAACAGAAAAACATGGAAGACACTACCTTAACCAAGTGATCAAGTTTAATATCACCAGTAAAGTTATGTTGTTGACATGTTCTAATGGATATGATGTGATAAGAAGAACACTTCACTTCTATAGTATTGTTCCCCAGAACTCATAACCCCAGTCTAACCATAAGAAAACATCAGATAGACCTTCTACAAAATATTTGGCCAATATTCTTCAAAACTCTCAAGGTCATAAAAATAAGAAAGGACTGAACAATTATCACAGATTGGAGAACAGTTTGGAGACATGATGATTAAATTCAGTGGGATATCCTGAATTGGATCCTGGAACAGAAAAAGGACATTGTAGAAAAACTGGTGTGATTCAAAGAAAATTTTGGTTTTTTTTTTTTTTTTTTTAGTGCTCTTCCTTGGCCAATCTATCTAAAATGTCATACTTCCTGGGCTTCCTGTCCTCTAACCTTGTCTTATTTTTCTTTTTAGCTTTGCCACTTCTTGACTATGTTATATTTGTTTATTGTTTGTCTTCTCCCAATAAAATATCAGCTCTATGAGAAGGAGTGGATCCAAGTTTTATGATTCACAAACAAGAAGATTTTGTGAGCCCTATATAAGAAAAATAAAGAATGTTAAATGAGGTACAAAATATGTATCTAATTAAAATAAGAAAAGAAATCAGAACAAAGACTTTTTAAAAATCTAGGTAGCAAAAAATTAATACAATATTTTTATTAATTCAGCACCTGTCATGCTTCTCTATTTTTTTCTGTTTGGGGCTACATATTAATTTGACTGTCTCTGTATGTGAAAATAATTTTGCAATATATTTCTGATAAAGATAATAGAAACATAATTCAGTCTTTCTTCTAGCACTTGGACAGTTTTGTTTTGTTTTGTTTTGGTTTTTTTTGAGACTGAGTCTCACTCTGTTGCCAAGGCTGTAGTGCAGTGACATGATCTCAGCTCACTGCAACCTCTACCTCCTGGGTTCAAGCGATTCTCATGCCTCAGCCTCTCGAGTAGCTGAGACTACAGGCGTGAGCCACCGTGCCGGGCTAATTTTTTTTTCTTTTTTTTGTATTTTTAGTAGAGACGGGGTTTCACCATGTTGCTCAGGTTGGGCTCAAACTCCTGACCTCAGGTGATCCACTCGTGGAGGCCTCCCAAAGTGCCAGGATTACAGGCATGAGCCGCTGCGCCCGGCTGGCCAGTTTGTTTTTATTATTGATAAATGGAACTTCCAAAACATGCATCCTAACACCCAGACAAGCCTACTGAAATATTGCTACAAATCTGTGCCCTACAAACACAGGAATTCTAATGAATTCTATTTTGTACAATTCCCATTAAGAAATGTATAGTGCATTTATAACTGTATACTTTATTGAGTATATTGCCAACAAGAGAGAAGTTTTTTGAGTAAGAATTAATGTAACTCAAATTCTCTCTAACAATTATATTTGTCTAATGACTGGAAAAGTGTTTCACAACTAGCTTCTGACTTAAATCTTGTTTCAATCTTGCTTCTCCTACTCTGGTTACAGACTTTTAGAACTTGTTTCTGTAGGACAATTTTATTTCATGGTATATTTTTTGGGTCTGTACTGTTGTGTCACACAGTTAGTAAATTAGCACAATAAGCAGTGGTAGTATCCTTGGAAGCTATCCCTACATTAGAACAACTAAATAACTTCATACAGAAGTAACTGCATACCACCTATATACATCCTATTAAGACTAGATTAGATCTATTCCTAACCCAACTTCTCCTTAGATGGAGTCCAAAAATATCTTCTGCCACTCAAATATTACCTGATATAAAAAGAAGTGTAATGGTGAAAAAATTGGAGTGGAGACAGCATTGTTAACAAATTGCAACTAAAATATCTTCTGCAGATTTCATAATTTTTAAAAAATATATAAATGAGTTGAATATGTTGCTAGGGCCCCTTTTGGGGCCTAAGAAGAATCTCATGCAAGTGAAGAGCCCTGAAGCTTAAACTTCATTAGTTTTTCATCCATGTCCCTAAGAGTAGAAGACTTTGTTTTTGGTTACATCTATATTCTCAGTACTTAGAATAGTGCCTTACATGAAGTAGGTATACAATAAACATATTTTAAATGAATAAATAACAAACGAGTGGTAGGAGGAAGGAAGGAAGTAAAGGAGGAAGCAAGGGAGGTAACGGAGGAAGGGAAAGAGGAAGAGAAGATGTGGAATAGTACTTTGCATAATTTGTATTATGGAAGCATAACATGGTTTTCCTACACTTGGTGGAAAACAACTAGTGTTACACTTATTTCCAAGGAAGAACATCATACTGGGACACATGAGGTAGTCTAGGACCCTAAGCTGCACCACATTTTAAGAGAACAAGTCAATACAAGGAGGTAATGGATGAGCCTACTTTGGACTCAGAAGAAGGAAGAACTATGATATGGCCCAGGAGAGTGGAGTACTGGGTAGAAGAAATTTGGATAAAGTCAAAAGAAGAAACTAAAGTTATGATTAAAGGTTTATATACACACATAAATCCAAGAAAGCACCGCTAAGAAATGTTGGGGTTCCTGAAGTCTTCTCCTAGTGACTCTGGAAAGGCAAGTGTTATTGATAAATCACATAGCTGTGTGTCTACATTGGCTCATCAATTCTACTTAGGGTTGATATTCAGTAGCAACATACCGGTATGGCTACCCTGTAGTTGGAATATTTAAATATTTCCATAAGAGCTGGGAAAGAGTAATTTCCCCAACTCCTTCAAGACTTGACCTACTGCCATGGTCACTCTAGCCCCTAATCTGGAATTCCGTAGATCCCCAGCAACTAAAAGAGTAAGTCTAGGGTCAAATCCTGCTTCAGCCATAAGTTTGTTGTAATAGGCTGACACCTTTACTGTGCTCATTGTTGAGTCATTTGCATATATTCTGTGGTTCTACTGAGCAGTCAACATAGCTGTATGGAAGAAACCATGAACTGAGGGGAGGCCTAGTCTCACTCTTTGGTACCCTGTGTGTTAGCCTAGGAATACAGCAATACAACCATTTGCTTAGACTGATGGCTCTCTAGGGTTGGGCTTTCCTAGGTTGGAGCACTGGACAGGTAGTCAGCTTTCCCACAACACTACATGAGGGCAGAAAGCAAATCTCTTCTAGTGACTGTTGCATTTTTAGCAGTTAGCCCAGTGATGGAACATAGTAAACACTTACAAACATTTTTTGTTTAAAAGTTGAACAGTAAAGAAGAAGGTAGAACTTTAAAGGTCTAGAACTGAAAAAGATCATCTAAAAATCTTAGAAAAAAAATTATTTTAAAAATTTCCCTGTTATGCAGTAGTGAATCTGAGGCCTGAAAGATTGAGGGTCTTGCCCAGAAACCATGAGTTATTAACAGGATCTGTTGCAGAACCCTGGCCTCTTGTATCTTCATTCAGTGTTTTTTTTTTTTTTCCTATATTGGGCTTCTCCACTCAGATCCAAGGAGACAGGTAACCCCAGTCCGAATTTCTCACAGCATGGAGAAATTCAGAGATGAACACAATTCTCTATCACCCTGTGGGAACTGAAAATTTTAAGTGAATATCGGAGTTACGCAAGGAAGTAATCTCATATAACAGCAGCAACTGTTTTGCTTTGCTCCTATTCTTGGAACTAGTGGGCAGGGTGAGGTCAAGAGTTTGAGCAGAGTAGAAAGTTTGGAACAGCCATTGTAGAATGTGTGAGGGGAAGACAATAGGAGTTGAACATGAAGATTGTTGAAGGTTGGAAGAATGAGGAAGAAGTTATTCAACTTCTGATGATTGCCCATGGACCAGTTACTCAGCATGGTAGATTTATTTATTTATTTATTTATGAGACAATCTTGCTTTGTCACCCAGGCTGGAGTGCAGTGAGTGGCATCTTGGGTCACTGCAGCCTTGACCTCCTGAGCTCAAGGTGATACTCCCACATCAGCCTCCTGAGTAGCTGGGATGACAGGTGACAGGCATGCACCACCGTAACCAGCTGGTTTTTTAGTGTTTTGTTTTGTTTTGTTTTGTTTTGTTTTTTTATTATACTCTAAGTTTTAGGGTACATGTGCACATTGTGCAGGTTAGTTACATATGTATACATGTGCCATGCTGGTGCGCTGCACCCACTAATGTGTCATCTAGCATTAGGTATATCTCCCAATGCTATCCCTCCCCCCTCCTCCGACCCCACCACAGTCCCCCACAGTCCCCAGAGTGTGATATTCCCCTTCCTGTGTCCATGTGATCTCATTGTTCAATTCCCACCTATGAGTGAGAATATGCGGTGTTTGGTTTTTTGTTCTTGCGATAGTTTACTGAGAATGATGGTTTCCAATTTCATCCATGTCCCTACAAAGGATATGAACTCATCATTTTTTATGGCTGCATAGTATTCCATGGTGTATATGTGCCACATTTTCTTAATCCAGTCTATCATTGTTGGACATTTGGGTTGGTTCCAAGTCTTTGCTATTGTGAATAGTGCCGCAATAAACATACGTGTGCATGTGTCTTTATAGCAGCATGATTTATACTCATTTGGGTATATACCCAGTAATGGGATGGCTGGGTCAAATGGTATTTCTAGTTCTAGATCCCTGAGGAATCGCCACACTGACTTCCACAATGGTTGAACTAGTTTACAGTCCCACCAACAGTGTAAAAGTGTTCCTATTTCTCCGCATCCTCTCCAGCACCTGTTGTTTCCTGACTTTTTAATGATTGCCATTCTAACTGGTGTGAGATGATATCTCATAGTGGTTTTGATTTGCATTTCTCTGATGGCCAGTGATGATGAGCATTTCTTCATGTGTTTTTTGGCTGCATAAATGTCTTCCTTTGAGAAGTGTCTGTTCATGTCCTTCGCCCACTTTTTGATGGGGTTGTTTGTTTTTTTCTTGTAAATTTGTTTGAGTTCATTGTAGATTCTGGATATTAGCCCTTTGTCAGATGAGTAGGTTGCGAAAATTTTCTCCCATGTTGTAGGTTGCCTGTTCACTCTGATGGTAGTTTCTTTTGCTGTGCAGAAGCTCTTTAGTTTAATTAGATCCCATTTGTCAATTTTGTCTTTTGTTGCCATTGCTTTTGGTGTTTTGGACATGAAGTCCTTGCCCACGCCTATGTCCTGAATGGTAATGCCTAGGTTTTCTTCTAGGGTTTTTATGGTTTTAGGTTTAACGTTTAAATCTTTAATCCATCTTGAATTGATTTTTGTATAAGGTGTAAGGAAGGGATCCAGTTTCAGCTTTCTACATATGGCTAGCCAGTTTTCCCAGCACCATTTATTAAATAGGGAATCCTTTCCCCATTGCTTGTTTTTCTCAGGTTTGTCAAAGATCAGATAGTTGTAGATATGCGGCATTATTTCTGAGGGCTCTGTTCTGTTCCATTGATCTATATCTCTGTTTTGGTACCAGTACCATGCTGTTTTGGTTACTGTAGCCTTGTAGTATAGTTTGAAGTCAGGTAGTGTGATGCCTCCAGCTTTGTTCTTTTGGCTTAGGATTGACTTGGCAATGCGGGCTCTTTTTTGGTTCCATATGAACTTTAAAGTAGTTTTTTCCAATTCTGTGAAGAAAGTCATTGGTAGCTTGATGGGGATGGCATTGAATCTGTAAATTACCTTGGGCAGTATGGCCATTTTCACGATATTGATTCTTCCTACCCATGAGCATGGAATGTTCTTCCATTTGTTTGTCTCCTCTTTTATTTCCTTGAGCAGTGGTTTGTAGTTCTCCTTGAAGAGGTCCTTCACATCCCTTGTAAGTTGGATTCCTAGGTATTTTATTCTCTTTGAAGCAATTGTGAATGGGAGTTCACCCATGATTTGGCTCTCTGTTTGTCTGTTGTTGGTGTATAAGAATGCTTGTGATTTTTGTACATTGATTTTGTATCCTGAGACTTTGCTGAAGTTGCTTATCAGCTTAAGGAGATTTTGGGCTGAGACAATGGGGTTTTCTAGATAAACAATCATGTCGTCTGCAAACAGGGACAATTTGACTTCCTCTTTTCCTAATTGAATACCCTTTATTTCCTTCTCCTGCCTGATTGCCCTGGCCAGAACTTCCAACACTATGTTGAATAGGAGCGGTGAGAGAGGGCATCCCTGTCTTGTGCCGGTTTTCAAAGGGAATGCTTCCAGTTTTTGCCCATTCAGTATGATATTGGCTGTGGGTTTGTCATAGATAGCTCTTATTATTTTGAAATACGTCCCATCAATACCTAATTTATTGAGAGTTTTTAGCATGAAGGGTTGTTGAATTTTGTCAAAGGCTTTTTCTGCATCTATTGAGATAATCATGTGGTTTTTGTCTTTGGCTCTGTTTATATGCTGGATTACATTTATTGATTTGCGTATATTGAACCAGCCTTGCATCCCAGGGATGAAGCCCACTTGATCATGGTGGATAAGCTTTTTGATGTGCTGCTGGATTCGGTTTGCCAGTATTTTATTGAGGATTTTTGCATCAATGTTCATCAAGGATATTGGTCTAAAATTCTCTTTTTTGGTTGTGTCTCTGCCCGGCTTTGGTATCAGAATGATGCTGGCCTCATAAAATGAGTTAGGGAGGATTCCCTCTTTTTCTATTGATTGGAATAGTTTCAGAAGGAATGGTACCAGTTCCTCCATGTACCTCTGGTAGAATTCGGCTGTGAATCCATCTGGTCCTGGACTCTTTTTGGTTGGTAAACTATTGATTATTTCCACAATTTCAGAGCCTGTAATTGGTCTATTCAGAGATTCAACTTCTTCCTGGTTTAGTCTTGGGAGAGTGTATGTGTCGAGGAATGTATCCATTTCTTCTAGATTTTCTAGTTTATTTGCGTAGAGGTGTTTGTAGTATTCTCTGATGGTAGTTTGTATTTCTGTGGGATCGGTGGTGATATCCCCTTTATCATTTTTTATTGTGTCTATTTGATTCTTCTCTCTTTTTTTCTTTATTAGTCTTGCTAGCGGTCTATCAATTTTGTTGATCCTTTCAAAAAACCAGCTCCTGGATTCATTGATTTTTTGAAGGGTTTTTTGTGTCTCTATTTCCTTCAGTTCTGCTCTGATTTTAGTTATTTCTTGCCTTCTGCTAGCTTTTGAATGTGTTTGCTCTTGCTTTTCTAGTTCTTTTAATTGTGATGTTAGGGTGTCAATTTTGGATCTTTCCTGCTTTCTCTTGTAGGCATTTAGTGCTATAAATTTCCCTCTACACACTGCTTTGAATGCATCCCAGAGATTCTGGTATGTGGTTTCTTTGTTCTCGTTGGTTTCAAAGAACATCTTTATTTCTGCCTTCATTTCGTTATGTACCCAGTAGTCATTCAGGAGCAGGTTGTTCAGTTTCCATGTAGTTGAGCGGCTTTGAGTGAGATTCTTAATCCTGAGTTCTAGTTTGATTGCACTGTGGTCTGAGAGATAGTTTGTTATAATTTCTGTTCTTTTACATTTGCTGAGGAGAGCTTTACTTCCAACTATGTGGTCAATTTTGGAATAGGTGTGGTGTGGTGCTGAAAAAAATGTATATTCTGTTGATTTGGGGTGGAGAGTTCTGTAGATGTCTATTAGGTCTGCTTGGTGCAGAGCTGAGTTCAATTCCTGGGTATCCTTGTTGACTTTCTGTCTCGTTGATCTGTCTAATGTTGACAGTGGGGTGTTAAAGTCTCCCATTATTAATGTGTGGGAGTCTAAGTCTCTTTGTAGGTCACTGAGGACTTGCTTTATGAATCTGGGTGCTCCTGTATTGGGTGCATAAATATTTAGGATAGTTAGCTCCTCTTGTTGAATTGATCCCTTTACCATTATGTAATGGCCTTCTTTGTCTCTTTTGATCTTTGTTGGTTTAAAGTCTGTTTTATCAGAGACTAGGATTGCAACCCCTGCCTTTTTTGTTTTCCATTGGCTTGGTAGATCTTCCTCCATCCTTTTATTTTGAGCCTATGTGTGTCTCTGCACGTGAGATGGGTTTCCTGAATACAGCACACTGATGGGTCTTGACTCTTTATCCAACTTGCCAGTCTGTGTCTTTTAATTGCAGAATTTAGTCCATTTATATTTAAAGTTAATATTGTTATGTGTGAATTTGATCCTGTCATTATGATGTTAGCTGGTGATTTTGCTCATTAGTTGATGCAGTTTCTTCCTAGTCTCGATGGTCTTTACATTTTGGCATGATTTTGCAGTGGCTGGTACCGGTTGTTCCTTTCCATGTTTAGCGCTTCCTTCAGGAGCTCTTTTAGGGCAGGCCTGGTGGTGACAAAATCTCTCAACATTTGCTTGTCTATAAAGTATTTTATTTCTCCTTCACTTATGAAGCTTAGTTTGGCTGGATATGAAATTCTGGGTTGAAAATTCTTTTCTTTAAGAATGTTGAATATTGGCCCCCACTCTCTTCTGGCTTGTAGGGTTTCTGCCGAGAGATCCGCTGTTAGTCTGATGGGCTTTCCTTTGAGGGTAACCCGACCTTTCTCTCTGGCTGCCCTTAACATTTTTTCCTTCATTTCAACTTTGGTGAATCTGACAATTATGTGTCTTGGAGTTGCTCTTCTCGAGGAGTATCTTTGTGGCGTTCTCTGTATTTCCTGAATCTGAACGTTGGCCTGCCTTGCTAGATTGGGGATGTTCTCCTGGATAATATCCTGCAGAGTGTTTTCCAACTTGGTTCCATTCTCCACATCACTTTCAGGTACACCAATCAGACGTAGATTTGGTCTTTTCACATAGTCCCATATTTCTTGGAGGCTTTGCTCATTTCTTTTTATTCTTTTTTCTCTAAACTTCCCTTCTCGCTTCATTTCATTCATTTCATCTTCCATTGCTGATACCCTTTCTTCCAGTTGATCGCATCGGCTCCTGAGGCTTCTGCATTCTTCACGTAGTTCTCGAGCCTTGGTTTTCAGCTCCATCAGCTCCTTTAAGCACTTCTCTGTATTGGTTATTCTAGTTATACATTCTTCTAAATTTTTTTCAAAGTTTTCAACTTCTTTGCCTTTGGTTTGAATGTCCTCCCGTAGCTCAGAGTAATTTGATCGTCTGAAGCCTTCTTCTCTCAGCTCGTCAAAATCATTCTCCATCCGGCTTTGTTCTGTTGCTGGTGAGGAACTGCGTTCCTTTGGAGGAGGAGAGGCGCTCTGCGTTTTAGAGTTTCCAGTTTTTCTGTTCTGTTTTTTCCCCATCTTTGTGGTTTTATCTACTTTTGGTCTTTGATGATGGTGATGTACAGATGGGTTTTCGGTGTAGATGTCCTTTCTGGTTGTTAGTTTTCCTTCTAACAGACAGGACCCTCAGCTGCAGGTCTGTTGGAATACCCTGCCGTGTGAGGTGTCAGTGTGCCCCTGCTGGGGGGTGCCTCCCAGTTAGGCTGCTCGGGGGTCAGGAGTCAGGGACCCACTTGAGGAGGCAGTCTGCCCGTTCTCAGATCTCCAGCTGCGTGCTGGGAGAACCACTGCTCTCTTCAAAGCTGTCAGACAGGGACACTTAAGTCTGCAGAGGTTACTGCTGTCTTTTTGTTTGTGCCCTGCCCCCAGAGGTGGAGCCTACAGAGGCAGGCAGGCCTCCTTGAGCTGTGGTGGGCTCCACCCAGTTCGAGCTTCCCGGCTGCTTTGTTTACCTAAGCAAGCCTGGGCAATGGCGGGCGCCCCTCCCCCAGCCTCGTTGCCGCCTTGCAGTTTGATCTCAGACTGCTGTGCTAGCAATCAGCGAGATTCCGTGGGCGTAGGACCCTCCGAGCCAGGTGTGGGATATAGTCTCGAGGTGCGCCGTTTCTTAAGCCGGTCTGAAAAGCGCAATATTCGGGTGGGAGTGACCCGATTTTCCAGGTGCGTCCGTCACCCCTTTCTTTGACTCGGAAAGGGAACTCCCTGACCCCTTGCGCTTCCCAGGTGAGGCAATGCCTCGCCCTGCTTCGGCTCGCGCACGGTGCGCACACACACTGGCCTGCGCCCACTGTCTGGCACTCCCTAGTGAGATGAACCCGGTACCTCAGATGGAAATGCAGAAATCACCGTCTTCTGCGTCGCTCACGCTGGGAGCTGTAGACCGGAGCTGTTCCTATTCGGCCATCTTGGCTCCTCCCACCTTGTTTTGTTTTTTGAGAGAGGGCTCTTGCTATGTTGCCCAGGGTGCTTTTGAACTCCTGGCCTAGCCTCAAGTTATCCTCCCACCTTGGCCTCTCAAAGTGTGGAATTACAGGCATGAACTACCAGGCCCAGCCAGTAGAGGAATTTTAATAAATAATTACCCAGTCCCAACTTTCAAAAATGCTGAGTTTGAGAAATCCTGCCCTAGAAAAATTTTAAGTGATTAGTAGTCACTTGTGACTAGTAGCTATTAACAGCCCTGATAATAGAACATTTCTAATCGTCATTCTATCAGACAATTCTAGTCTAGAAGATTTTGAAGACTCTTTTTACCTCTGAGGTCCTAAGCAAAACAGTGAAATAATAAAAAGAGCAAGATAGTAAGGATCAATCTTACTATCCTTACTAGATAGACAAAAAAGACAATGAAAAAAATAAGCAAAAAAAATAAAATAGAACTGCCTTTGAGGCATTAATTTCCGATTAAAGCCCTTAAACCTGCATAGTTCTTTACTGAAATAGAAAGCTCATATTTTGATTCTGCATTTATTGTTCCCACAAAAGTGTGGTATTTGGATCAAATGAACTATTGTCTCTCTGTGGGCACGTTGACAAACTAGATGCTGCTTTGTAATCTACTGCTGTGCATTACTTGTCTGACTAATCCTGTGCTTCTTTCTTGTTATCCTGCTGTTATAGCTATAAATGCATAGTCTTACCTCTTTTCTTGGCAGACACTTTAGAGTGCAATAGAGAGTAAATGGGATTTACATTTACTATTATCCCTTCAGCTTTAATAATGACTGGTTTTAATTCTCCCTTTGAGTACTGAAATAAAACACCTTCCTGCTCATACCACACCTGCATCCAATCCTGGGCACCTGATTTCTGGAGAAAAATGAGATGTCTCTGGTATTTTAAAATATCCGAATAGCTTCCAGGCAGAACAGAAATGTTTTTAAAAATTATCCAGTACTTAGAAATAAGAGAGGTGATTACTGAAGGTCCTTTCAGTGGAATGCTGGGCAGTTGTTTGATGGATACTCAATGAATTAAGTCTATAAGGTTGTGCACCTTTGATCGACTCTCTATTTGGAAGAGGTTAACTGGTGGAAAACCAATAGCAGTGCAAATGATTCTTGCCCATAGCAATGCAAATGGAATTTATCTATAGAGATATAATTGATTTTCCCCTGATAGAAAAGATAATTCTAAAATTTTCAATTTATCACCTTATAGGGTATTAACCAGTTTTGCACGTATTAGCATATTCACTTTAGTATTGACTGCCTTGACTACATAAATCTGTCTTTATATTTTCCTTCAAACTAGTTTTAACATCTTACTCTTTATTGACTAATGGGTGGAATAAAATCTTTGACACATTCATGTTATATTTCTATGAGAGTCATGCGTTTTAACTTTTTGAAAAGTATACTTAGAAGAAATCTAACTTGGTCAGGTACTGCTCCTGGATTAAGTGCTCCTTAGTTGTGCCACGGGTGCCTCTTACCTCCCTAGCCTCACAGTAGTGCCAGCCTTGTCTTAACCCCCAACTTCTGATCAATTTTAGCCAATGGGAGGTACACAGGTTCAAGAGGGCAAGGGGAGAGTGGGGTTCTGGTATTTATTACTCCAGATTCCTCCGTGGGATTTTGCCTTGGATGGGCAACATGCTGCTGTCTATTTTGGGATTCCTGTAATCTCTTCTTTTCTTCAGTTCGGTAGGCCTGGGGTGGTTGCTAGCTACATTATCTCTGTGGTTTTCTCACATAATGGCCCCTTATTAAATTCCACTTTTGTACCACCCGATTTCTGTTGCAAGTCCTGCAAATAGAATGGGCTGCTTTTAGAAAAGTGACTCTACTCCATTCCAGGGGTGTTCAAGCCAAGGCTAGATGGTCAGAAGACACTAGTGCCATGAAGGAATTCTCTGCTCTGGGAGAAGGCAAAACTGTACAACTATGATTTCTAAATATGGAGGCTGCAAAGCTCTACAAAAAGCTATCTTGCTTCTGTGTGTGTGTGTGTGTGTGTGCGCGCATGTGTGTTGTTTGCAGGAGTGATGGGGATTGGGAAAGAGAAATGTCAGAAAGGAGAAACATATTGTCGTGTTACCATATATGTAGCCAAGGGAGGTTTGTTGATGGTCTGGAAGAGACATCTAGGTTAGTAAAAGAGAGGGCTGAAAATGAGGGAGAGATTTTGCTGGATTAAATTGAGAGACAGGACTAGTTGGTTTCCTAGGCCGACTAAAAATTCATAAGCCTAGCTGGGGAAGGTGACCACACCCACCTTTAAACACAGGGCTTGTAACTCAGCTCACACCCGACCCATCAGGTAGTAAAGAGGGATCACTAAAACACAAATTAGGCTAAAAGCAGGAGGTAAAGAAATAGTCAAATCATATATCACCTGAGAGCATAGGGGGAGGGACAATGATTGGGATATAAACCCCAGGCATTCAAGCTGGGAGTAGGCAACCCCCTTTGGGTCCCCTCCCATTGTATGGGAGCTCTGTTTTCACTCTATTAAATCTTGCAACTGCACATTCTTCTGGTCTGTGTTTATTCTGGCTCGAGCTGAGCTTTTGCTCACCGTCCACCACTTCTGTTTGCTGCCATGGCAGACCCGCCGTTGATTTCCACCCCTCCAGATCTGGCAGGGTGTCCACCCCTTTTCTGATCCAGTGAGGCGCCCATTGCAGCTCCCGTTTGGGCTAAAGGCTCGCCCTTGTTCCTGTGCAGCTAAGTGCCTGGGTTCATCCTAATCGAGCTGAACACTAGTCACTGGGTTCCACGGTTCTCTTCCACGACCCACGGCTTCTAATAGAGCTATAACACTCACCAAATGGCCCAAGGTTCCATTCCTTGGAATCCGTGAGGCCAAGAACCCCAGGTCAGAGAACAAAAGGCTTGCTGCCATCTTGGGAGTGGACACCACCATCTTGGGAGCAGCCTGTCACCATCTTGGGAGTTCTAAGAACAAAGGTCCACCGGTAACAAAATGTGTCAAAATTGGTGAATGTTTAGGTCTGCTTTTAAAACATGTGACTACCTAACTGTGTGCTCCGAGTAAGAGTATACTAGTCTTGTGTTCAGGTATAGATTTAACTTGGATATGCTAAGAAGTTAGTACTCTATGTAACAGAAAAAAGTTTCCGGATGTGCTGCCTATAGTATGATCAAGATGGTGAAATGTCATCTCAGATTTAACTGTGCAATATTCTCATAAAAGGCCTTCTTTGTGGTAGAGAACCCATGTTAAATTTCAGTCCCCATGCTAGAACAAGTAGAGGCCTATGCTCAGCCCTGGCTGGTTTTTTTTTTTTTTAAATTTTTTTTTTTTTTTGAGACAGTCTTGCTCTGTCACCCAGGCTGGAGCACAGTGGCACGATCTCAGCTCACTGCAACCTCCACCTCCTGAGTTCAAGCGATTCTCCTGCCTCAGCCTCCTGAGTAGCTGGGACTACAGGCGTGCACCACCATGCCCAGCTGATTTTTGTATTTTTAGTAGAGATGGGGTTTCACCATGTTGGCCAGGCTGGTCTTGAACTCCTGACCTCAAGTGATCCACCTGCCTCAGCTTCCCAAAGTGCTGAGATTACAGGTGTGAGCCATTGCGCTGCCTGGTGCTTTAAGAGCTGGTGTAGGTATGGAAATGTGTGAGGCTGGCCCAGGTTACCAGAATCTCAGTTCCAGGAAAGTGTGGCTCAGCAAGGAAGGGAAGATTGATGACTTGTAAACAGTTTGAATTACTCTAGTGGTTCTCCCTGCCACCCATCCACACTCACTGTGGGCTAGTACCTGTGTCAGATGCTGGGGATCCAAAAATCACTAGTAAGACATAGATCTGCCCTACAAGACTTTCCCACCTCTGACAATATCAACTGAGTGATCTTTTAAATCTTAAATATTATGTAATGAAATCAATATATTTGACAAGAGGCCTTTTGGGAAAGCACATTGGAAGATATGTGTTGGGGCTTGAGGGGACTAAAAAATAATGCCTGTCTTCACCACCCAAATTTGAAAGCAATTGATAGTTGCAGCAGGTAGGTTGATGGCAATTATAACATAGTTACATGTTTGCACAGCATGGCTTAGGTTCAAAGATGAATGGACTTGTTTAGGACACTGTTCTTCCTCCCAATCTCCAAGTATGGCATTGCTCATCCAGTTGGAGATTCAGTAGACCATTTGAGTCTACCAAATGCACACATCAACCAAGGAATGCTGTTCCCTCTAAACTGGGACAAAAAGGGAAGAAAGTAATCAATTGTCTAGTGCTTACAATCTTTTAATAAAGTAGTCTTACAGTTCAGAAACGGGCTAACTGCTGTCACCCCAAATCAGATTTCACACTCATCAGTGGGGAAAAGTAAGTAATAGATGGGGTGGAGGTTATGAGTGTTTTTACAGATAAAACTTTCTTCCAATGAGAAACAAGAGGAGTGGGGAAATAAATGTTCATTCTAATTTTCCCCTACCTTTTGATCTTAATCATTAAGTTTATGGTCAATCAGGGTCTATCTATCACCCCTTGGAAATGAGATAAGCAGCTACGAGGGAAGTCTCGCTCCTACCTTTTGAGATTGCTTCAGTACTGTGCCTTTTTGCCTTCTCCTAGGAGTGAATAACGCTTGGTAAAGAGCGTTAATTTTGTAGCCAGAAGTTCTTATTTCAGATAAATACATTTTAATCATCATATTAATTAACTCCAAGACCATTATGTGTCAAGATAAAAACATTTGGCTGCTAGGTTCTTTACATGGGTTATTATTTTTTCTAGTTGGCTCAGGGAAGTTCAGCTCTGTTTATTGTAGTACCTTAGTGACCACAGTTCTATAAGGGGTGGAAGGCAAATGCCTTGCCCACTGTGGGCTGGCACTATAAAAATGTTAAAAGAAAAACTTTAGACAAATTAAATTTCACAGTTTATCTGAACAAAGAACAACTCATGAATTGGGCAGCACTCAGAACCAGAAGAGGTACGAAGGATTCTGCTTAGCATTGTTAGTAGGAAGCTTTTATAGGCTGAACACAGAAGCAAAATAGAGAAATCACCTGATTGGCTACAGCTAAGTGTCTGCCTTATTTGGGCTTGGTGTGATGAGTTGGCTGCCTATGATTGGCAGAAACCTGGCTGAAATCTGGCTGCTTGTGATCAGATGAAACTCAACTATTTATTATACTCCTAAGTTTCAGTTTGCTTATGTATGAAATTAGGTTGCAGTTTGTTATATAAAAACTCAAAGTACAGAGACAACCTCAGGCAAATGGCCTCCTGCTTATTTAATTTAACAGAAGTAAGCAGACCACAGTTCCCCGATGAGGCATTTGAAAGAAAATTCATGGATCTCTGGTTTCCCAGCTATCTTATAGATAGACATAGTGGCTCCTTTTTGGCGTCCTAGGGGCCAATAAGACCAGGAGCATTTACAGAGGGACAAAGACAACCTTTACCTAGAGTAATCCACAGATCCCAACTAGTCCAGGAAACAGCACAAACTCCATCCTCTCCCTGGAACAGAGACTGGCCTCCAAGGCCATACTCAGATCTCAGTATCAGAATACAAGCCAAGTCTGGCCTTGCACTCTGCTGCTTGAAGACCCTAGTAGCTGTTTAGTTTAGGAGATGACAGATTAAAGCTGGAGTAGAGCTTAGGTTGTCATCTTCTCAGAATCCACTGCTCCTTGTTCTTGAGCTGCTTTAATGGAGAATCCTTAGCCAAATGTAATTTTAAAGTTAATTTAGTGCCTTCTTAAAGGATAAAGCTCACAAGCTCCAGCAGAAACTCCCAAAAATAACTAACACAGAAATTCTCAGTAGTAGTTTCAGCCCACCTTGGGTTAAAATCTGAATACTGTAGTTTTTAGCATTTAATTTAGAAGAGATTGGAGTGAGAGACTTTTGGGAGTATCTTTTTAGAAATTACACTGGCTGGGCGTGGTGGCTCACTCCTGTAATCCTAGCTCTTTGGGAGGCCAAGGTGGGTGGATCACTTGAGGCCAACATGGTAAAAGCCCCGTCTCAACTAAAAATGCAAAAATTAGCCAGGCGTGGTGGCACACACCTGGTGTGTGCAACTTGGGAGACTGAGGCAGGAGAATGGCTTGAACCCGGGATGCAGAGGTTGCAGTGAGCCGAGATCGCGCTGCTGCTGCTCTCCAGCCTGGGTGACAGAGCGAGACTCCATCTCAAAAAAGAAAAAAAAAAAAAGAAAGAAAAGAAGTCACATTTACATTAAGAGCAGGCTTACAGGGAAAGGGAGGGAGTAGAAAGGAAATTTCTATTGAATGCTACAAGGCTCAAAGTACTAGATGCTATTTTATTTAATCCTGAGAATAGCAGTGTAATAAATTATTGTTGTCTCCATTTTAAGGTGGAGATACAATTTAACTGAAGTGCAGATAATTTACATTATTTGCCCCAATTTGCTCCTATCTGCCCTATTCCAAGGCCCAAACTTGCTTCTCTGATACTAAGTATCAACAGAAACTACCATCATGACTAGTACTAATATTAGGTATATTTTCTAATTCTTGTTATTCTGATCGTTAGCGCTTAAAAAGAGTTTGTGTTTTATGTTCTAAGTTGGCAATGTAGTTAGGGAAGCTGTTCTGCTTTGCAGTAAGTCTGGATGGAGGGAAAACAGGGGGAGACCATATAACAGCAACCAGAAAAGAATGAAGGGGAAAAGAGAAAGACAGCTTCATGACTTGGAGCTGCAGCAGCTTCTCCTTTTCCCAGGCAGCAACTGGAAGCAAGGGAACCTGGTATGCCCCTTCCCTACCTCCTACAGACCCGAGCCCAACACCTTATCTCAAAGCTTTTCTCTCTTTCTCTTCTCTCATTCACACAATCTCCAGGTACATCTCTCTTCCTCCATCTCCATTTTTCTCTCCTTGTCATTCTTTTTGAGAGTCCAAACCTCCCTCTCGTTGTAAAGATGCTCCTGAGTGGTATTGATGATTATGCACAATAAAGAAAATCTCCAGTCTGAAGTAGAAGCAGAGGAACCTAAACCAGTTTACCTCCTCACCCTTAAATGTTCCAAAAGAACCCCGAAAGCCTTTTCTTAACTTAAATGCATTTAATTTAATCTGTTTCTCTTCAAGTAGTAACAGTCAAGATTGAAAAATTCTTTCCTTACTCAGTTTTCTCTATTAGTTATTGGAATTACAAAATTATTGCTTTTTACGATTTTCACATAAGCTCTATGGGATAAAATTTTAAGTAAGCTTTTGTTAGTTAATTTTGGAATTTATTACTTCCAAGATTATTTTTATGTGAAATACATTTCTGAATTCCAAACAAATGGATTACAAATAAACTTTCAAAATGCAACTTGTTTCTAAGTGGAATTCTGCCTTTAAACTGTTTGGGTTAATGAGAAACAGTAAAATAGCAATGTAATAATATACCTTAAAATGTTTAATACCTTATAGGATTTGCTACCAAAATTATTTAGATTAAGGATAGTTATTCTTTTATTTAACAATTTAGAAAAAAGTTAAAGTTTGCAAAAACATTATATAATAATGAAGTTCCAACAGCTACTAATGACAATAAAATCTATTCAAAGTTTTACAAAGCCCTTTTAATTGCATAAATTGCTAATGTAATACTATTGATGATGATTTGCTGAAATGCTGGTATACAATTAACTCCACAGTCATTAAATTAATGGTAATTTGTCTTATTTGATATTCAATTATAGAACAAGAGTATTGATGTTATTTGGCTTCCAACAGCGCATTTCCAGAGTCAGACTATGCCTTTCTTGGTCCTGAATCAGAGTTTAGTATAGGAAGGCTGATGATTGAGCAATCTAATTGAGATAATAGAAAGTCATGAACTAGATCCTCTTGGTGATAATTATTTCCTAATTTTGTCCTACTATTTTCTAAAAATGTTGATTGTTCTTGAACAGACCACTGCTGACTTATAATTCTAATGTCTATGCTTTGCTTTCTTATATGATCAATTAGAACATTACTATTTGGATAAGAATTTCTTTTATAATTTTGGAACTTGGATATTTGCTTCTTGTTACTCAAATATTGCTGCATACATAATATTTTATGAGGCATTTAAAATTTCATTTGATAAGTTTAACAAATTATCCAGTGGCGTTACATTATTTAGTTCATATATATATTTAAAAGGCTTTGAGTAACATTTGACAGGTAAGGCACTGGATGTGGGTATGCTCGTTGGTTTTCCTGCAGAAAACATTCTTTCAAATTTTCCAGTTTGGGCACTCATTTCATGAATAACAGCTTTATCAAGGTAACCCACAAATTGTTTTGTTAGGCTAGAAAAATTCTGTGAGAAATTATAGAGTGTATTCCAAGATCTGTTTTCTAGTGTCTGCTTATTAGTTTTCTTCTTTAGTTTATCATCTACAGTTGTGTGGCCCGCTTTAAAAGACATAGGGATCTGTATATCTTTTCTCTGTACTGTAGGCATAGTTTTTTGGGGTTTGAAAAGAGAAATAGATTGATTGCCAATTATAGATTTGAGGATTTCACAATTTCTTTCTAAAATGAAATTTGTTCTTTTATGTGGGTAAATGTTTTCATTTTCCAAAGGATGAGAAGAAAATCTATTTTTTGTCAAAAGTAACATTCGTACATATTCTGTGTCATGGAAAATTATGGGATTTGTGTCCTTTTGTTCCTGTAGATTAAAGAAAAGAATAATTAGTCATAAGTTCATTGAGTCAAGAAAGCTCCATATATTTTAAAACATGTAAATAAAATTGTAAAATATTCTAAAAATGACTACATACAAATATTTAATATGAACAGTAGCATTATTCAAATACATGAAAATACTGTACTTGTATGTAACATACATCCTTCTTATCTTAATATTCTATAGAGATGTTAGTGATAAAACTTGAACTTTTGGCCTTAAATGTTTTTTGAAATAAATTGGAATACGAAAAAATTAATATATTTGTTAAATATCTGGGGTACTGTCATTGAGAAATAAGGTGGTTGTTCTGGCATTTCTTAGGTTTCCATGTTCTAGAAATTAAAAAGCATACCAAAAAATGGATTGAGTCAAAGTTCAGAAGAGACATAACTGATTACAAGCCAAAATTACAAATCTGGATATTCTAGTAAGTAATTCAAAAAATTAAAAATTATCTCTACAACTGTTATTATTGTACCCTAATACTTAGCACAATACCTGACACCTAAAAAGTGCTCAATATATATTTGTGGAATAAAATAGCCAAAGTAATAGATTGACTTAAGAATAGACATTTTTATCGCAGTAATATCCAAGTCTGCTATGATTACTGAAAAGATGACAAAGATCTAGTTTTGCAATCCACTGGTGATGCCAATATTACCTATTTAGCCATAGTAATGGATGTTTGTAATGCTTTTGGTCTGTCCAACACCTTAGGGAATTTTCCACTTGACAAGTCTATGTACCCTTAGGTAGAGGCAAGAACCATGTTTATCAGCTTCTTTGCGGTTAGGACATAGGCATTTGCCCTAGGCTCTGCCATTCAGATACACCTATGAAGTCTTCAGTTCAGAGAAAGCAAGCACTGTGAAAAAGTATTGGGAAAACTATTCTAGTGAGGGTGGTAGGAGTTACATCTAGCTTTGAATGACAGCAGTAGCAAATGTCTTAGAGTATTCCCTGCTCAGCATCAGAGTTGTAAACTTTTATCTGTGACAATAGCATGGGCCTCAGTGGAGCAGTCTGGGGCTATATAATTAGGTGATTCCTGACTAGACAGCTTTCGAGCCATATTGCCTCTCTAGAGAGCATGAGTTACTAAATAGCCTTTAATAAATGCACTTTCTGGTTGAAAAAGCCAAAACAGATTGTTAGAAAAATTGACACATGGTCATGGTCCCATCATTTTAGAACTGGGGTCTTGTTATATTGCTCAGGCTGGATTCAAATGCCTGGGCTCAAGCAGTTCCCCTGCCTCAGACTCCAGAGTAGCGGGGATTACAGGTGCACACCACTGCATTCTGCTAGATTGGTACAGCCATTTTTAAAAAATTCTTTTTATTCTACAGTTCTATTATAATCAAGCAAATTTGATAAAGGCTTCTTCATAAAGAAAAACACTGAATTTTCAGCTGGTATAAAGGAATCCCTGGTTTGGGAGTTGTGCAAAGTGCATTAAGAACTTAAGTGCTGTTATCACTTTGGAATATGAAACCAAGAGGTAAAAAGGATTTATCAAAGATTCTGGTCACTAAAATATATGGGTGATTCCCATAAGTCTTATGACTACACATATTTACTTAACAATAGATGATATGCTTATTACCATGTGAGAAGTTACTGTCTTTGTTGGACTAACGTTGACTATCTTGGCATGTGGATTTTTCAATTCATCCTCAAAGCACAACGGGAGCAAGCTTTTCTTTCTTACTGACCTATACTTACTTAATTGATAATTTCTGACCGATTTGTTTTCTTTTATATTAAAATCGTTCATCTGTGGAGATTTTTTTCTGAAAATAAACACAGTTCAGGGTAGTGTTCATGGGGCTGATTACAGCTTGTCAGTTCTTGTCTGCCTCCTTTTATCCCTGGAAGTCACTGCCAACTTCTGCACCAACCTCTCTCCCACAGACTTTTCAAACCGACAAGATCATCCCGTCCTGCCTGGTTTGTGGGAGAAAACAGCAAGAGTAGGAGTGGAAGCAAGAGAGTCATATATATGCCTCTTTGGATTTTGAGTGGGGACGAGTTGTATTATTACGTAGGTTGAGGAGAACACCAAAGGTAGAGAGGTATTTGCAACGTCCTATGTTGAAATTCTGGAAGAAGCTCCACAGGGCAGCTTCATGCCAACATAGGGTGGCCCCAGCTTTGTTAAGAGGATAGAATAGTGTGGTCAGGCAGAGACAGGATATAATTTTTAAACTGAGTTAAACCTAAAGTGCTTGTTCATTATTGATTCAAACAAAGTTTGAAACACACTGGATTAATGATTTTTTTCATTATACAGAGATGGAAGGGTTCATGAGAAAAATGAGAACTTTATCCAAAGAAAAGCTACTTTTTCATGTCCATGTTGTCATGTAAGTAAATGTGTGTATTTACTAAAAAAAAAAATTGTATTCCCTCTATTCATTTTTCCATGCCTTTCTCTCCATTTAACAATACTCAAGGTCTGGATGTGATATCTAGTGGCTAAGCAGTCTTGGACCATTCATTGGATTGTGCTGTGGAACTAAATAATAAGGCAGAATAAATTTATTCCTGTCAATTATAAAATGTGTCCTACTAGAAACATCATTAAACAGAACAAAGTATTAAGCATTTTAAAATAAATTACCTTTTATTTCTATCACCTTCTAAGAGACCAACAGAATCCAATGGTTTCCTAGGTTTTTTTTCAATTTGAGCTGAAATTTTAAAAGATTTTCATAAAAGACACATAGATATTCTGACATTTAGGAAAATATCTTGCACAAAATATTTTACAATTTAAAATAACATATGGAAAGTACCTAGTATAGTGCCTGGTCTGTAGTAGCTACCCAGTAAATATTTCTTGAATGAACTAGATAGAACTGGAAAAGACTGAGATCGAAGCCCTAGTATTTGGCTAAAACAGATCAAACATAAAAGTGGTCTTGGAGATTTTTTTGTGGAAGAAAGACATCCCTAAATTTTCAAATCTTTCTGATATGTGGAGCCATTATTAACCAGTAGGAAGCTTCAGACGGTTATCACTTGGTAGGCAGGGAAGACAGTTTGCAGATATCAAACAGATCTTGCCATGCGGCATGAAGTAAGCATCATCCAAGGTTGATCTCTTCCAAATATGTCTGGTGGCCACTCCAGCATTTTTCTAGATACACATGCTATTAGTAACAGTTTTAGCTTTTACCTTGTCCTCAAGTAGTTTATATTCTAGTGCAGTACTTCCCAGTCTTTCCCATATAATGGCAAGCATACTAATTAATATTATTTGTACAGTATACTGGAATAAATGCTTGAGTCTGGGCAGGCTACCACAGGGCCAACTGAGCAGCCTTGATGGCTAAGGAATCAATATTTCAGCACACCTATAACCCCCTCCAAGCACAACAGGTTACCACAGTACTATTTGGGAAGCTCTGTTCTAGAGGGAGGAAATGGTCAATAAACAAGTAAACAAGGGGCATGGTGGTGCGCCCCTGTAATCCCAGCTACTCAGGAGGCTGAAGTGGGAGGACTGCTTAAGGCCAGGAGTTTGAGGCCAGCTGGGGCAGTATACTAAGACCCCCATCTCAAAAAAACAAAAACAAAAACAAACAAAAAAAACCCGACAACAACAAAAACAAGTAAACCAACCAACAAATAAATGTATAATATAATTTCGAATAATTTGGAAGTATTTGCAGCATTCAAGTACCATGGAAGAATATAAACATAGTACTTCACCTAGGGTGGCTATAGAAGGCCTCTTTTAAGAGGGGATATTTGAGTTGAAATCTGAGTAAAGAGAAAGAGGCAGAGGAAACAGCAAGTGTGGAGGTCTCAGTGTGAAGCCAGCATGGAATGCTGAAAGAACAAAGAGGCCAGTGTTGCTTGGGTGTGGTGAATTAGGAGGAGAGTGGAGTAAGATGGGTTGAAGCACATAGCAGGGCAAAGTCATCTAGGGTCACATAAGCCATGGTGAAGAGTTAAGATATTATTCTGGTTACAATAGAGATCCTTAGGAGGGTTTTCAACAGAACAATAATGCAGTTTCATTTATGCTTTAGAAAGATCACTCTGCTTGCTCAGTGATGGATGGTCTGTGGGGAGAAGGGGGAATGTGGGTGGCAAGAGCAGCAATGGAGTAACCAATTAGGAGGCTGTTGTTGTTGTCTAGATGAACATGTTGGTGGACTCGATAAGGATTGTAGCAGTGTAAGTGGTGGGAAATCGTTGGCTTCAGTTTCTACTTAGAGGGAGATCCAACTTTTTCCCATTTGCAGGAATGGGATAGGTAAGAGAAAAACAGGCCCACTGACTGAAACAAGGTGCTGGGTTAAGGATCCCTGACTTGTGAAAGGAGAATAAAAATCACTCCTTTCCATTGCCAATTGGCTAACCTGGAACTAAGTCAAACCACACCAGAGATGGATGACTGAATCTGCCAATCTACCATATCCCAATTGTCACCCTGGCAGACGAATTCCATTCACAACTCTAAAATCTGGTCTGGCCTGAGGGTCACGAGGTCTGAGTAATGGCAACTGCAAAACTTCTGGAAAGGAAAGAGTGACATATAGTGAGTGGTGAATAAGAGACAGAGAGCCTTCTAAAATTCTAAAACCTATGAAAAATATTGCCAGGTGCAGTGGCTCACACCTATAATCCCAGCGCTTTAAGAGGCTGAGGTGGGTGGATCACTTGAGGTCAGGAGTTTGAGACCAGCCTGGCCAACATGGTGAAACCCCATCTCTACTAAAAGTACAAAAATCAGCTGGGCATTGTGGCGAACGCCTTATAGTCTCAGCTACTTGGGAGACTAAGGCAGGAGAATCGCTTGAACCAGAGTCGGAGGTGGCAGTGAGTGGAGATCGTGCCACCACACTCCAGCCTAGGCGACAGGGTGAGACTCAGTTTCAAAAAAAATATTATAATAAAAAAATGAAAAATATAAATTTTAGAAAGGCAGCCAACAAAATCTACAAGAGGGTCAGCACTACAATTAAATAGAAGAATCTAAAAATAACCTGAAAACCTTTGCCATCTTAAGATATACACCTCAATTTTAAGATGTATATTAGCATGCGTCATAGTTTAATTAACAGTGTCAATTGATGACATCTTAGATTTGATGAAATATGTTTAGAAATTTCAAGGGTATAAATAAAAAATACTCACATTAGAGAATAAGCTAGTATTCAGTAAAAACAGACTAAGGTAAAAATAAAAACAGGTCAATATTTTAAAAACTGGAAATCTTGGAAGTAAGAAATATAAATCTAGATTACATGGACAAAGGGAGAATTAATGAATTGAGAGAAAATGTTGAGGGATTTGCCAAGAATGCATAGAAAGATAAATAAAAACCTGAAAGAACAGTTCAAAATCATGAAAAACAGACTGCAAGTCTTGGACATTTACCCAATAGCTTTGGAAGAAGAAAATAGAGGAAATTGTAAAGAATCTATATTTGAAGAGATAATAACCAATAATTCTAACTGATAGAAGTGTATTTCAAGGATTGAAGATGACAGACAGAATACATCTATATCCAGATACTTTGTACTAAAAAAGCAGATTGTAAAGAATAAAGAGAAAAATCCTAAAACTACCAAAAAGTTAAAAAGTTTGTCTGTAGAGGAATGACAATTGGACCATGAACAGAATTCTAATCTATGAATGATTCAAGAAGATAATAAAATTATCTGTAAAATGCTGAGAAAAAATAATTTACAGTGTAGACATTTACATAAATTCAACTGTCATTCTCAAGAGTGACAGCAAAATAAAGGCACTTCAGATATACAAGGATGAAAAGAGTTAATAGCCAACAGGTCACCATTGAAAGAATGACTAACACATGCTCTTCAGGAAAAATGTAATAGAACACAGATGGGGCTGAGTGTGGTGGCTCACGCCTGTAATCCCAGCACTCTGGGAGCCCAAGACAGGTGGATCACCTGAGGACAGGAGTTTGAGAGCAGCCTGACCAATATGGTGAAACCCCATCTCTACTAAAAATACAAAATTAGCCAGGCGTGGTGGTGCACACCTGTAATCCCAGCTACTTGGGAGGAGGCAGGAGAATCGCTTGAACCCAGGAGGCAGAGGTTGCAGTAAGCCAGGGTTGCGCCATTGCACTCCAGCCTGGGCAACAAAAGTGAAACTCTGTCTCAAAAGAAATAAATAAGTAAACCACAAATGGCAGGATACAGGAGTCAATGATGAGCACAGAATTTGATAAACTACTATGTATTTAATTGGCATTGTCTTTAAAAACGAACAGTATTTTGTATTTTAAATGAAATATTGTGAATATTTGCTGCACTTGTATAAGCTTTTTGCAGTTATTTTAATCTATTGTATTTTTGGTGTTTTAGACTTCTGTCATGTCAGCCTTTTGTTTTTTTCTTTAACTTTGCTTTACTGAGGTATAATTTACGTACAATAAAATACACATATTTTAATGTAATGCACAGTTTGATAAACATTGATAAATATATGCACTCATGTAAGTAAAATCAAGATATAGAGTATTTCCATTATTCTCAGATCGTTTTCCCCTGCCCCCTTTTAGTCAATTTATTTGATTTGTTCTGTTCTTTCCTTCAGACACACTGGTTATCTCAGTGTTGGATACCTGTTTTCTTCCCTCAAAATACTATCTTGTCTAATGTGGTCATATTTTTGTCCCCTTACACTGCACGTTGTATATATTCCTACACCTGCTTTTCAGATTTCAATTTGGTTTACTTCAATGTTTATTTTACTCTTTGCTGCTTTTAATATAATTTTAAGTTACCTAGTAGCATTACTTGTTTCTTTAAAAATATTTTTAAATTCTGGTAGCATCATTTCATCCTTGATGATTATCTTTTACATTTCCAAATCTTATTTCATAGAATTCTGTTTTTCTTTAACTCCTTCAGCATATAGAGCAATTATTGTTTAAGTTTTTTCCTGGTTCATGGGGTACAAATTCTGCCAAAATGTGACCATCAGCTATCTTTTAAATTATGACCTCTCTTTGCTAAGGAATTTTTTCATAGGTCCCATGATTTGTTCTTATTTTTCTTTCTGCTCAACTTTGAATCAGATCACTTAAATCTGGGCTTATTATTTGTCCAAAAACAATAGATGTACATTTTTTTGATGTTCTCCCTGTTTACTTGGGCACTGTTAAACTCTCCCCTTAGAAATTAATATGTAAATCCAGATGTCGTTACCTTATATTATGAGTTCAGGCACTTAGCTACCTCAGTAGGCTGCTAAGGAAGCTGGAGCCCTGGAAGATCGTGGAGAAGTTTATTTCTGGGCACTGTATATTTTGTGAAACCTTTTCATGACCCCAGGGTGGTGGTGGTGGCGGTGAGTACTCTGTTTATGTGTGAGGTGTCACTTGGGTTTCATTTTTTTATCTCTCTCTTTGGGTAAGCAACTTAGTTTGGTAGTTGGGGGAGGAATTTAGTCAAGTAAGGGCCTCATGGCTCACAGGCTACTTGATGGAATCATGTTTTTTCTTTGCACAGTTATCGTTGGTCACAGTCCAAAAATCATTTCTAGAAAACTGTATTTTGTCTCTTCTGTTATCAACCCTCCTTTCAAGTCCCTGCTCCTTCAAGTTAGGAGGTTTTTACCCTAGCTTTGAGTACATCTAAAGCAATACGAGGAAGCCAGAGAAAAAAAGTGACAAGTTATGATCGTTACATTTCTCTCCAAATATTGCTAACACAGACTTTGAATGCTGCTGACTTACAATAAGGAAAGGAATCCCAAGGGGGACAATTTTGCATCTTTCTCTGACCTATCATTGGTAACAAACTCCATTTCTTTATGTTGAATGTAAGAGTGTGTGTGTGTGTGTGTGTGTGTGTGTGTGTGTGTGTGATGGAGTAGGTGGTTATAACAGGGGATTTTTTTCAGAATATTCTCTACTGGCTCTTTCAATGGTTATTCCTTTCTCCTAAGAAATGGAATTGTGCACTGACTTCTGGAAGATTCTTTCAAACTGCTTCATATTATAATATGAGGCAGATTTTCTTTGAGTTAGGGATAAAATGTCCCACTTTCAATTTAATAAATTTTTCTTCCCTATTTTCTTTTTGTGTTATTCATTTTGGCCAGGATGAACTGAACTTGTATTTATGTTGACAACTTTCCCAGAAGTCTTACTTTGAGACTTTGATAAAAAGGATAAAATGCTTCTTCAGAGAGGCTTAAGAACTTTTCTAAAGGGAGATTGCTTTGCTGAACTAATAGAACATCCTGTCGCTGCTTTGAGGGAACACTTCAGAGAAGATGTGGCATCTTAATGGAACCTTAAGGGATAATGTAGTAAACAGAGGGTTGCCTACTTCACAGTTCTTTTTTACCCTTCTTTACTAACAGCACTCCAATCTTACCTCCTTCCAAGCAACCGCGTCCTTCAAAGAAGGCTGGGATCTTTCCTGGCTCAATAGAGTAAATCCTGAGTAATCTAAGCTGTGTTTTTCAAAATGGTGAGCTACAAACCATTCATGTCTTGCGAAATCAATTTAGTGTATCCTGAACAGCATTTTAAAAAATGAAGTAGAATAGAGTATAACAGAATGTATCATCTGGATCCTTAGTAGTTACTGTACAAAATACAGAAATACTACAATCAAATTCAACTGACAGAGAGAAAGAGAGATAATTAGGACTCTAGGAAGATGAATCTTCTGCTCCGTGTGTGTGTGTGTGTGTGTGTGTGTGTGTGTGTGTGTGTGTAATATAAAAAGCATTTCTTACTGTGGCCATGTTAAAAGTTGGAAAAAGTGATCTAAGCCAATGATGATTTATTGGTTTAGATGTGGATGCATGAGGCTATTTGAGACAAAGAAACATACGGGGGAGTTGGCGTTGGGAAAACATTTTTTTTTCATTCTTACCAAGGCATAAAAAGCATTTCCAGTCACACAACCTATCTTGAATAGTTGTCATCATATTGTACAGCAAGGATAGGAGGACAAGCTACCTGCTAAGACCATTGACGAAAGAGAGAGGAACTGGACATTTTTTCCCCCACTGTATTCCTCTATTCAATCTCAGAGGCCACAATCAGACAGACAGAAAACTCGAGAATATTTTTTTTCTTGCATCTGTAGTGGAAACCTTAGCAGCAGACAGTAACTACTCCAGGTCTGTCAAATAGATGCATGGAACTGAATATCTGATGACATTATAAAGCCCCTGAATGAGTCAACCCTGCAAAAGCCTTTCTGATGGACTTCTTGTTTTTTTTTTAGATAATAAATATCTTTACTGTTTAAGCTACAGGCAGTTGGATTTTCTTTTACTTAGGGCTAAAATCTCTTAACTATTAAAGACAATCAGGAATCCATCAGGTGAAAACATATGTTTTAAGCATAGACAACAGACAATGAATCAAATCACACAGTAATTTGGTTAACTAAGTAAAACAGCCTATTAAATATGACTAGAATCAGTGTGGTGTGGATAGGTTTAAGAGTAAGAAAAGAAGGCTGGAGAAAGATCGTTATGGTAGTATGATCAAAGACGAATATTCCTTGGATAAAGATTTTCTTAATGCTTACACACTAATTTTAGGTGCAGATAACTTTCAGTTATTTCAATGTAAACATGCAATTTGTATACCTGTAAATAAAGTAGAGTCTTTTTCCTTTTTATGAGCATTAGACTGAATGTTGAACATAGGAGAAAAGTCTGTAGAACCCAGTGATCTTCTACATGCTTGTCTATGCTGTGAATATAGAACATTCAAAGGCCCTGCATTTTCCATCTAAACATCAGGAAAAATGGAAAATTATCTTAGAAACTATTTCTTTCCGTGTATATTAATAAATAATTTATGCTTGAGTATTCACATTTGCAATATTGAATTATGATAACTAACAGCTGTCTGGTTCTTTAAATATTTTAAAATGTGATTTATTTAATTCTCAAAAAAACCTACTATGAGATGGGCATTATCAATAAAAAAACAAACCTTCACAAGTTAAAAGATCTGCTTATGCTCACATTTTTTACTAATTTTTATTTTCTTTGTCTATAAAACTTAGCCTTTATAGTCACATAAAATTTATCTCTCTAAGTTCAGGGGAAGTCTAAAGTTCAAATGCTGGGAAATAAAGCCTTCTCTGTTTTGACAAACTATTACTCTCTCTAACATAGAGTAGGTACAGCAGATCAGTTCTGAGTAGAGAAGAAACTGAAAAACAATGATCTGGCTTTTCCTAAGCTAGAGTATCAGATTGGCAGATTGGGTCCATATATTTTTTATTAAAATGTACATATCTAGGCGCTCAAAATATACATATGCACATGTTAATATAAACTGAATACTTTGTGATTCTCTGTTAACAAGCTAAACAAATAAATGTTTAGAACCCATATGTTTTTCACACTAGGCACAGAATATATTTAGTTCTGGATAATATGAAATAAAAATAAGGTATATGACAAAAGTCTAGGCCACAAAGACCTCACATTTTTATGGTATAGATAGGATTTGCATACACAAAACAGTAGTAAATAAAATAGAGTAATATTACTAAAAAGCAAACCAATCAATACAATCTACAAATGAGGAAGAGTTTAAAAAGGGAGGGATATCAATAAAGACTAGAATAGACAGGAAAGATTTCATAGAGGAAGAAGAAAATGCTAAGATTTAAAAGATGAGGGCATTGCAGGCGAGGTCAACAGCATAAGCCTGGAATGTTCATAAGACAGGCAGAAAAATAGCATATTTATAGCAGGAAGGCATTTATTATTTATTGGGATTAAAAGATAAGTTCAAATAGGTAAGAAGACGAGTTGTGAGAGGGATAGACCACAGATGTCTTGAAAGACAAATAAAGCAAATTTATCCTAAAGAAAAATTAACAAAATTGTCATGAGGAATAGAAAATTGGAGCATATCAATAATTCTTAAAAGGAATGTAAGGGAGTTTCTAATAACTACCTTTAAAACATAGTTTAAAAGAGTAACCAGCCCCGGATAGATTTACAAATAAGTTGTTTTAAGCTTTCATGGAACAAATTGTTCTCATGCAATATAATATCAATTAAATTAAAAAGTAAACAGCTTTTCAGTTCTTTTTATAAGCTGGCATAGTCTTAAAAGCCAAAGTCTGGAAAAATAAAGAAGCTTACAAGCTAATCTTACCTATGACTTCAGGATTTTTCACAAATTTAAAATAAAATACCAATCAACACTAGACTAGTACAAGTTTACAACAGCCAAATAAAACCATCAAGAAATTAAAGGTTTCTATATGTTATTATAACTCATTACCCATAGGTCAAAAAGGATTAAAATGTTGTAATTATTTTAACAGCTGCAATACTGATAAATCTGATAAATTTAACAACTATTATTGATAAGAACTATAATAAAACTACATAAAGATAATATTTTCTTAATGTGATAAAGAATATTGGCCAGGTACGGTGGCTCGTGCCTGTAATCCCAGCACTTTGGGAGGCCGAGGCGGGTGGATCACCTGAGGTCAGGAGTTCAAGACCAGCCCGGCCAACGTGGTGAAACCCCGTCTCTACTAAAAATCCAAAATAAGCCGGGTGTGGTGGTGTACGCCTATAGTCCCAACTACTCGGGAAGCTGCGGCAGGAGAATTGCTGGAATCTGGGAGGCAGAGGTTGCATTGCACTGAGATCAAGCCACTGCACTCCAGCCTGAGCAACAGAGCGAGACTATTTCTCAAAAAAAAAAAAAAAAAAAAGAATATTTAAACATAATTTAAAAAATTCTATATATGTGTAAAAGTAACAGCCAACATCATCATTAATGGTAATATATTAGTCTATGACATGGCAACAGTAACATCTATCACCACAATTATTTATAAATTTTTAGGGAGTGCCCAATAATGCAACAGGAAAATATAATAAAAATAGTAAAGACTGGGGAATTCTGATTCAACGTAGCTGAGTAATCCTCTATCAGACCTACCCTCCCACAGATGAAAACCATAGACTCTAGACAAAATGCTCTAGACAAAATACACACAGACACACACACAGACACACACACAGACACACACACACACATGCATGCACACACATGACCTTAAGGTCCTGGAGAATAAACAAAAGCAGGTGGCAAAGAAAAAGTATTGACACTTGGTATAACTGACTTGCATGGGGTGGAGCTGCTATTTGTATAGCTTTTAGCTTGAAGGCAGACTGAAGTTGGCATTGTATGGAGCATCTAAAATTCTGCTAGAAAAACCACGTTGTTTCTGGCCAGAAGAACCAGAAGACAAAGTTAGGACAAACAGAGCTGCTGGAAAGTGAGAAAGGAATGCTAGAAAGAAGAGAGCCAAAGATGGCAGCTCCATTCCCTGCATGAGAGACTCCTATGTGTAAGGGACTACCTGTTCAAGTCTCTGGTTAACCCCTAAACCATGCATGTTTAGAAACTCCTGCAAGCAGACAGCTAAGGATAAAACAACTGAATTAAAATTTGAGCTGCTGTTCACGAGTCATTTTGTATTCTGAGTACAATCAAGATAATTGACTGCTAGAACAAAAACATCAATAATTTTTGTAGGACAAGAGAGTGCAGAGTCTTCACAATACAATAGTCACAATGCCCAAGATCAATCCAACTTGACCTAAAAGAACCAAGAAAGTGAGACCTAGTGTTAACATAAAAGATAACCCAACAAGACCAAGCCTGAAATGACCCAGATATTGGAATTAATAGATTTTATAGCAGCTATTATAACTATGCTTGATGGGTCAGGCACGGCAGCTCATGCCTGTTATCCCAGCCCTTTAAGAGGCTGAGGCGGGTGGATCACTTGAGGCCAGGAGTTCGAGACCAGCCTGGCCAACATGGTGAAACCCTGTCTCTACTAAAAATACAAAAAAAGAAAAAAAAATTAGCTGAGAGTGGTGGCACACGTCTGTAGTCCAGCTACTCAGGAGGTTGAGACAGGAGAATCGCTTGAACCTGGGAGGCAGAGGTTGCAGCAAGCTGAGATTGCGCCACTGCACTCCAGCCTGGGTGACAGAGCACGACTTCATCTAACAAACAAAAACAGAAACCAGCCAAACAAACAAACAAAAACTATGCTTCATGAAAAAAGTAAAATATGTTCAAAGTAAAGGAAAAACATAGGGAATCTTACCGGAGAAACAGAAACTATTTTTTAAAATGGAAATTATAGAATTAAAACATGTAATATCTGTTAACTGGTTGAGCTTAAAACAAAGTGAAAATATCTGAGGGGAGAATCTGAGAACTTAAAGATAGATCAATAGAAATTACTTAATATGAAAAAATAGAGATTCAGGAACCTGTAGGACAATAATGAAAAGTCTGACATGTTTAATAAGAGCCTCAGAGGGAGACTCTTGTCCCCTTTACTTTCTTTAAAACACAGCAAATTGCTGAAAGCAAAAATTATAATACTGTCCTGTAGGGTTTATAGTATTACATACAGAAACTATAGTGCAAAGGTTTGGGGAAGTAAATGGAACTATACAATTTAAAGATTTCTACATCTTTATGTGAAGTAGTACAATTTTACTCTAAGTAGACTGTGACAAGTTGATGATGTATACTTTAATCTATACGGAAACCACTAAAAATCCCAAACAAATAAAAAGAGAGATAACTAAAATCCAACAGATATATTAAAGTGAAATTTTGATAAATATTCAAATAATCCAAAGAAAGGCAGGAAAGAAGGAACAGAGAAACAAAAAGCACAGGGGCAAACAAAAAAGAATAAAATGATAGACTTAATTTCACCCATATCACCAATTACATTAAACATTAATAAAATAAACATTTCAATGAAAAGAAATTGTCAGAATAGATTTTTTAAAAAGCAAGACTCAAGTATATGCTGTATATAAAAAATGTACTATAAATATAAGTTGAAAGTAAACTGATGGAAAAATATATGCTATGTAAACGGGATGCATAAGAAGGCTGCAGTGGTTCTATAAATATCAGGTAAGATAGACATCTGGCCTGGCATAGTGGCTCACGCCTGTAATCCCCGCACTTTGGGAGGCTGAGGTGAGTGGATCACCTGAGGTGGGGAGTTCGAGACCAGCCTGACCAACGTGGAGAAACCCTGTCTCTACTAAAAATTCAAACAATTAGCCGGGCGTGGTGGCGCATGCCTGTAATCCCAGCTACTCGGCAGGCTGAGGCAGGAGAATCGCTTGAACCCAGGAGGTGGAGGTTGCAGTGAGCCGAGATCACTAAAACAAAGAGTGTCCTTCTCTTAATAAACTTCCTGCTAGTGTGGGTTTTGGCTCCTGAGAGCAAAATTCTCTTTATGGTAGCATCTGCAAAAAAGGCTACCAGTCAAACTGCCTACTCCCTGCCCTCATATCCTAAAGTAAGGTGGTTGAGAACTCTGCCATATACACAGAACAGTTAGGTTTTCATTCTGGGGATAGACTTACTTGTAAAATTAGTGGCAGCTTCCTGGAAAAATTAACCCCATCTTCATTCTTAAATATCACAAATAAAAATGTACCAATGTCTTATTTTATTCAAGCTGCTATAATAAAATCCCTTAAACAGGGTAATAGAAATAATAAAAATTTACTTCTCACAATTTTCAGGCTGGGAAGTCCAAGATCAAGTCATCAGCAGATTTAGTGTTTAGTAAGGGCTCGCTCTCGGATTCATAGGTGGTGCCTTATTGCTGTGTCCTCACATGGGAGAAGGGGCAAACAGCTCTCTAGAATCTCTTTTATAAGGTCACTAATCCCATTCGTGAGGGCTCTGCCCCATGACCTAATCACCTCCTAAAGGCATCACTCCTTAATACCATCACATTGGCTATTAAGTTTCAACATATGAATTTTGAGGGTACACATTCAGACCATAGCAACCACATATGATAAAAATCAGCAATCACCTGAGGTCAGGAGTTCAAGACCAGCCTGGCCAACATGGACCCCATCTCTACTAAAAATACAAAAATCAGCTGGGCATGGTGGTGCATACCTGTAGTCCCAGCTATTCAGGAAGCTGAGGCAGTAGAATCACTGGAACCCAGGAGGTGAAGGTTGCAGTGAGCAGAAATCGTGCCACTGCACTCCAGCCTAGGTGATGGAGCAAGACTCTGTCTCAAAAAAACAAACAAACAACAAAAACCAACAAATAATCCCATCAAAAAGTAGGCAAAGGATATGAATAGATAATTTTCAAAATAAGATATACAAATGAAAAAATGCTCAACATCACTAATTATCAGGGAAATGCAAATTAAAACCACAATGAGATACTGCCTTATTCCTGAAAGAATGGCCATAATTTAAAAATTTTTTAAAAAATAGACCTTGGCATGGATGTGGTAAAAAGGGAACACTTTTACACTGTTGGTGGGAATGTAAACTAGTATAAACACTATGGAAAACAGTATGAAAATACCTTAAAGAATTAAAAGTAGGCCGGTGCGGTGGCTCATGCCTGTAATCCCAGCACTTTGTGAGGCCGAGGCAGGCGGATCACGAGGTCGGGAGATCGAGACCATCCTGGCTAACACGGTGAAACCCCGTCTCTACTAAAAATACAAAAAAATTAGCCAGCATGGTGGCTGACGCCTGTAGTCCCAGCTACTCGGGAGGCTGAGGCAGGAGAATGGCCTGAACGCAGGAGGCAGAGCTTGCAGTGAGCCGAGATGGCGCCACTGCACTCCAGCCTGGGCGACAGAGCGAGACTCCGTCTCAAAAAAAAAAAAAAAAAAAAAAAAAAAAAAGGAATAAGGAGACATGGGATACTAGAATCTGAGGAACTGAGCAAAGGAATGGAATGACAATGTAAAAGTAGGCTTATAGGTAACAGGTCAAATTTAGAACAAGAAGTCACTGGGCTTCATGAACAATTCCTCCAAGAACATTGGAATGGATTACACACAATAGAGAGAATGAATAAAAAACTTGATCATTTTCACATATGATAAGAAAGTTACATGCTTCTTTTTTGGAGGCTGCAGATCTTAGTGACAATGAGCATGAATCAAACTGCTGGGTTCTTCCTGGTTCTGTCATATACTATTTGATCCCAGGCAAGTTGCTTATCTTCCTTGTGCCTCTTTTTTCTCAGGGATAATAGTATTTACGTCATTGGGTTGTTGAGGATGTAATTTTTCTTTGAATAGTGCTTGAGGCACATATGCAATTACATGTTTGATATTATTATCATCATTTCCCACAAGAAAAAAGAAAGGCCATTAGAAAGTCCAAGAAAAAACATAAAAGTGTACTGAACAGTTAAGGTCTAAATATGAGGGAAACTAAAACATGGCATTTTTTTAGTAATAGATAGAGAAAAAAGAGTCCATTGTTGTTAAATTGTACCCACTGAGAAGAAAGGTAATCCAAGCACATTACTTTGTTCGGTAATGATTATTACAGAGACATTACTATAATGTAAATGAAATGATTATTTATAAATAATAATATAAATGCTGTTAATAGTATTTTGAGTTTTAGAATTAACCTACAAACAACTTAATCAGAGTTCAAAGCTGAATATAATAGTTGACTTAAAAAATGTGAAAGTAAATAAATATATACTTGACCTAGGGAAGAAGTGTGGAAGATAGTTGGAAGACAGGATAAAACTGTTAAGATCTTCATCATATATAAAGGGGAATCAGGAGTTAGTGATTAAAAATGATGGGAAAAAAGTTAGATATATTATTTCAAGTTGCAAAAATTAACAATAGAAGAAAGGAAAAAAGTAACTATCAAAGATCCAGAAGAGGAAAGTGGGGAGAGGCAGGATGCACGGTGGTATAAACAATCTTTGTTATTGATTTTCACTAGATAATGTTTAAAGTTGATAAATTAAAATCAGCAGTAGAAACTCATTCTTTAGAAATATGGAGTTAATCTTATAAGGTACTGAAACCCAAAAAGGTTAAACTTGGTTGCTTCTGAAAAGAGGAAATTAGAAGAGGAAGCAGAGAATGAAAGGGCTGTGTGTGCTTATTAGTGTTTCTCTACTATTTGCATTTAAAATATCACATGGATATTTCTATTTTTAAAAAACTAAAATTTTATAATTTTTACATAAGATGCTAGTAAATGTATTATGATAAGTAACCTGATTGTGACGTTATGTTGTAATACATAGCTTGGGGGACTTTTATTAACCATGAACCTAAATAAAACATGAAATTAAATAAACCATGTAGATGAAGATAAAACTGATAATCCTTTTAATATTTTTTAAATTATAAAATATAGGAATATGCAACAAAAATTTGTTATTAATTATGGCCCTAAGTCTGTATTTCTCCATATTTCTTTATATATATATTATATATATATAAAATACAAAAATTAATACTTAAGAGACTCTCTAAAGTGACTTTCCCTTGCTAATTCTCTGGTTTAATTTATCTCTATAGTTCCCTATATAAAAACTACTGAATGATGTCCAAGGCACACTCAATGCTCAGAGCTAGTCACTCTTCAGCATGCCCATGAACTTCTGCTGAAGTGATTATCAAGAGTCAATAGTGTTGGTTCCAAACCTCTTTCTGGTAGTTGCTATTGCAATTATGTAATTTAATTAACCACCACACATAGCATACTCAAAAAAAGGTCTTGGTTACACATTAAAAGATTAACAAATTGATATATATTTTTATTTAATAAATTTGGATGTTTAAGTTTTACATGTATGTTTTTTATGATGCTCTGTCTTAACTGACTTTATAAGTGCTAGTCCTTACCATGTTCAATAATCTCTACTGTATTGAAATATCTCCAACAAATAATATATTATCTTCTCTACTGTCTCCATACATAAAGTTTTACATAATATCAGAGATGAAATCACTTTAACATTTTATCATTTTGAATCCTAAAATTCACTTGAATTTTGGATTTGTAGGAGCATATATAAAATTATTAGGACTAATTTGAATTTCTATTAAGTAATTACTGAGTATACAAATTACACCTACCTCAGTTGTATCCTTAAGATAAAGATAGGGTCTAATAGATCTTGATTTTAGATGTTCTTCTACTGGCTCTAAAGAAACAAACATAAGTATTTCCATGCTATTAAGTTACTTCTAATTAAACCCAATCAACCATTTTCTCCACTGCAGTAAACTTTTAAGAAATGTAAAAGAATAATTTTATTTACTTACATATGCATTGCTTGTACATGGTTAGAGCTAAATCTATTTTAGAATAATTTGCCTTAAAGTGAATTTCTATTAACAGACTATAACTTTCAATTATTTACTATTATATGATAAAGCTATATTGTCTTGGAAAATGATGGATTTCTAAATAAAATAGAATCATATGTGTTATTCAAAAAATATTTTGGCTAATTCCTTTGAAAAGAGAAATAGAAATAGTCCCTTCTACCTGCATTTCTCTCATATTCAGTTATGAGTTTTAGTAATCTGAATTATCATCCAATGGATATTCTTAAAGTAAGTATGGTGCAGGGGTCAGGCATACAGACTTTGGACTTAGATAGCCTGGGTCCAAATTGCACCTTTTTGTGTGGGTTACATAGCCATAGCCATAGGAAAGTTACTTAACATCTGTGAGTCTTACTTTCCTCATTTGTTAACTGGAAACAATAGCACTTATAGAAATACTTTCTGAGTTAAATGAAATAATAGATGTAACAAATTTAATACGGAGTCTGGTAGTCATTCAATCAATAGTTATTTGTTGATCAACTATATGCCAGACACTGATGGACTCTGGAATTGTGACTCCTGCCCAATGATGCATACATTTTAGTGGGTAATATGGAAAATAAACAAACAAAAAAACAAGACATTGGACTTGTGCAGTGGCTTACACCTATAACCCCAGCACTTTGGGAGGCCAGGACAGGTGGATCACTGGAGCCCAGGAGTTTGAGACTAGCCTGGGCAACATGGTGAAACCCTGTCTCTAAAAAAAAAGTACAAAAATTAGCTGAGTGTGGTGGTGTGTCTGTAGTCTCAGCTACTCAAGAGACTGAGGTGGGAGGATTACTGAGCCAGGGAGGTCGAAGCTGCAGTGAGCCGTGACCACACTGCTGCATTCCAGCCTGGGCAACAGAGTGAGACCGTGTCAGAAAAAGAAAACCACCAAAAAACAAAAAACCAAGGGGTGAATAATTGAAATTTATTCTGTAACAGAAATAAACACACTTTGGTGAGGGAGAACCATAAAAGAGGTATATTGTTGATAGCGTAGTCAGAGGACGCCTCTCTGAACAGATGACATTAACCAAAATATGCAAATGAGCTACAAGTTGCATGAATAGAGTATTGGTGTGTCTAGGCAGAGGGGAAAATATATATTCCTTTCAGGCAATCTGGTAGTTGTACTGAAAAGAGGCTAATGAAGTTGCAATTTGTTTATTTATTTTGAGATAGAGTCTTGCTCTGTCGCCCAGGCTGGAGTGCAGTGGCACCATCTCAGTTCACTGCAGTCTCCACCTCCTGGGTTCAAGTGATTCTCATGCCTCAGCCTCCCAAGTAGCTGGGATTACAAGTGTGCACCACCACACCCGGCTAATTTTTGTATTTTTAGTAGAGATGGGGTTTCACCATGTTGGCCAGGCTGGTCTTGAGCTCCTGACCTCAAGTGATCTGCCTACCTTGACCTCCCAAAGATCTGGGATTACAGGTGTGAACCACCCTGCCTGGTTGAAGATGCAATTTAAATGAAGGCCAGGGAGGTAGGGAATGAGGCTGAATACACACACAAGGTTCACAATATACAGGTCTTTGTTTCTTTTCTTTCTTTTTTTTTAGATGGAGTTTCACTCTTGTTGCCCAGGCTAGAGTGCAATGGTGCAATCTCAGCTTACTGCAACCTCTGCCTCCTGGGTTCAAGGGATTCTCCTGCCTCAGCCTCTCAAGTAGCTGGGATGACAGGTGTGTACTACCATGCCCGGCTAATTTTGTATTTTTAGTACAGACAGGGTTTCGCCATGTTGGTCAGGCTGGCCTCAAACTCTTGACCTCAAGTGATCCACTTGCCTTGGCATCTCAAAGTGCTGGGATTACAGCCATGAGCCACCGTGCCCGGCCAGGTCTTTGTAAGAAGTACAAGTTTCATACTAAGTACAATGAGAATCCGCTGAAGAGGCTTTAATCAGGATCAGCCTACTTTTAAAAGATCACTATATGATTTAAGGAAAGAAAATGGATTAGAGATTTTTGCTACCATTATGGAAGGCCAGGTGATTAGTAACAGCCCTCCTGCTGAAAACACCTTAAAAGGCTAGATTGAATATTTTTTAAAGTCTAAAGAGAATCATTGACTTAAAAGATGATAAGGGATCCCTGGTCTTAAATCTAGGAGAAGATAAGAACTCAGATAGGGAAGCCCAACATGCCAAGCCACTTTTTCCCTGAGAGTATTTGTGATGTGAAGGTAAGATCAAGTTTTGGAAGCTTCATGGCTTGAGATAGAAAAAAACAAAAAGCTGACCAAAGGTCCAAAGTTTTGATATTTAAATGTTCTCCAGTTCCCTTCCCCCACACACAAAAAACCCCCACACCTATTCATTTTACCTGGGATCCAAAAGGGTTACAACCTTAGGGTGAACTAGAATAGTTAAGATTGCCACCTGGATGTTTTAGGGAAAGTGAAGCCTTGAATGCTTTAGTATGTTCTGACAAGTACTGCCTCCATATACCTGGCATAAACAATAAAAAAAAAAAAAATCTTTTCTGGAGTAACGTATCATCACCCTAGTTCTCAAATTGTTCCTATAAATAATTTTCCAAATACCGTCCAGCACACATTCAAAGATAATAAGACACATAAGGAAATATGACATTATGAAAGTGAATCATGAGAAATAAAATAACAATGTGTATAACAAATCCTTTGAGAAATCAAGTTATGAAGCATAATAGAGAAATTAAGCAATAGGGGGTGATGTGGAGTCAAGAAACCTCAGTTAAGAAGGTTGATGAGAATTATGCAATTGAATGATTGTTTGATAATGGAGAGAAAGAGAAAAACGAAGGCAACACGAAAAGCTCAAATTCTCTGAGAACTGATAATGCTGATTCCTAGCTCACGGACTCCTAAAATTTCTTTTTTATTTTGAGATGGAGTCTCGCTCTTGTCACCCAGGCTGGAGTGCAGTGGCACGATCTCAGCTCACTGCAGCCTCTGCCTCCTGGGTTCAAGCGATTCTTCTGCCTAGTCTCCTGAGTAGCTGGGATTACAGGCACGCACCACCATGCCCGGCTAATTTTTGTACGTTTAATAGAGACGGGGTTTCGCCATGTTGGCCAGGCTGGTCTCGAACTCCTGACCTCAGGGGATCCACCCGCCTCGGCCTCCCAAAGTGCTGGGATTAGAGGCGTAAGCCAGCGTGCCCACCCAGCCAGATTCCTAAAATTTCTAACTTGAAAGTAAGTTTCTATTAAGCAAGCTGTTCATACTTGACTTCTAAAAAACAATAACAAGGAAATTCTCAGCATTGAGCTGAAAGGAAACTCAGAGATTTTCTTTCTAGAAGAAAACAACACATAACACTATAAACATAAAAATATATTCCTATTTTGTGAATTGTATAAATTGTCCATTCTGATATTTAACATCTCTTCTTCTTAGTAAGTTCTTTTTTATAGTTCATGGAAATGCTTTTGACAGAGATCAAATTATCAAGAACCTTTAAGACACACATCGGTAAATAATAAAATAAATAAAGCACCCATTAATAAATCAAAGAAGTAAATATGTTACACAAAGCATTACCTGTTGACTCACTTTCTTTATTTTTTACATTTGTTTGAATAAAGAATGGTCTTAAATTTGACTTTTCAAAATTACTCTTTCTAGGTTCAGGCTCACATTTGAAAGAGACATGCCTGGAAGAAATAAAAATTAATTTAAATTAAAATAATGAGAAAAATTACAAAATAAATCTAAAAAATAAATTTGGAGGAATGTGAAGTCCTAGTTATACAGACTTGGATGTTATGTTAATGTTGTCACAGTACCAAGTGTGAAACATTGGACTGATTAAATAGGAGCTGAAAATATTAGTTTTAGTCGTTTAAAGTGGAGGGGGACAGAAAACTACTTGCTGCTGTGATAGCATTGAGGGCACTCCAAGAAACTTATTCACAAGCTGATTAACCCTTTCAGAAAAATATGCTGGAAATAACTTCAGTGAGACATTGAGGACATTACTGGACCTGAATCAAAGTGGTGGGACATAGAGTTAGGGAATTCAGGTACTAGAAAGGATCACAGCATTTATTTATTGTAAAGACAAATTATCCTCCTCTAAATTACTTAACTGGCTAGTGATGGTATATTAGAAAATTAATAGTATTACATAATTGATACTCTTTCTGACCTCTAAATGCTAGAACAACCCATGACTCAGCCCTCAGACCTCAGATACTCACCCTTAGTTGGTATAAGCCAGTCCCACACTGTAACTGTTGTCTATAGGCCAATGTCCCAAATTTATAGTCCAGACTCTAACCTCTTCTCTGAACTTCAGATTTATATATCCAACTGCCCACATGACTCCTGCACTTAGCTTAATTATAAGTATCTTGAACTTAACATATTCAAAACCAAATTATTGATTCCACCATCCCCTTCCTGATCTTCTCCTCACCCAGGTTTCCCCATCTCCATTCAACCAGAGGGTTAGGCCAAAAAGTTTGCAGAAATCTTTTATTTCTCTTTCTCTCTTTTTCCACTCCCAACCTATCAGCAAATACTGTGTCTTTCTTTGAAATAGATTCCAAATCCAAACACCTCTTTCCTCATTGCTCCCAACCAAATCCAAGACCCCTTTATTTTTCATCTGAACCCCTTCCCTATGTCTCTAGCCTTCTTCTGTTTGCTCTCCCTGCTATTACACTTGTCCTCAACATTCTCTTCGCAATACAGCCATAGCAACACTTGTAAAATACAAATGTGACTATCATTTCCTTCAACTGTTTCCTATCAGACTTGATTAAAATTCAAAATGCTCCCTAACAGACAGAAACTTTTCCCCCAGTTCTCATTTCTAAGTAGCAGAATTTCCACTGAATGCCACTCCAGGCCTCTCTCTGCATACCCCTTCACCTCTCAGCTCCACATGAACGCTGAGCAAATTTTCTACCTGTTTGGTTCAGGGAAAGGAATTTAGGCTCCACTTAAGGACCTTGCTCTTTCCTCTGCCTGTAGTATTCTCCCCACAAGGGGTTGACGTGGCCTACTCTTTCATTTCAGTCTCCACTCACATTTCCACCTCTTCAGAAAGAACTTTCCAGCCCACCCCACTTCCCCCATCTAAAATAGTAATCCCTGTTGATTTTAATTCCCTTAATTTACTATATTTTCCTTTATAGAATTCATCACTGGTAAATTTATATTATATATTCATTTGTTTATTTAGTTTATTATCTCTCTCCCCATCTTATCCTAGATTGTAAACTCTGAGGGCACACTATTTATGTGTTTTATTCACTGTGGTATTTTAGCACCTATAGCATGACTGGTACATAGTACATGTTTAATATTCATTGAATGCCTAATAGGCCGGGCGCGGTGGCTAATGCCTGTAATCCCAACACTTTGAGAGGCTGAGGGGGGTGGATTACCTGAGGTCAGTAGTTCAAGACCAGCCTGGCCAACATGGCGAAACCCCATCTCTACTAAAAATACAAAAATTAGCTGGGTGTGGTGGCATGTGCCTCTAGTCCCAGCTACTCGGGAGGCTGAGGCAGGAGAATTGCTTGAATCCAGGAGGCAGAGGTTGCAGTGAGCTGAGATCGTGCCACTGCACTCCAGCCTGGGTGACAGAGAGAGATTCTGTCTCGAAAGAAAAAAAAAATTATTGAATGCATAAGATTTTTGGTAAATTTTTATTGAACTTTCTTATCATCGTACTTTTTAATGGGTTTTCAGTTTGTTCTCTCTTTTAAAAATAATTATGTAATCTCCGTAAAACAATTTATCTGTTCCTTTCAAAAAATGTATCTTATGTTCTTATTAATATCATTGGGGAGGACTTCTAGGAGAGTGTAGTATACTAGTGAGAATGGGCATTGTTCTGTTTCTAACTTGAATGAGAATGAGTCAAGGGTTTCTAAGGATGATGCTGGCTATATAGTCTTGTTAAGGAGGTAATATTTTATCCTTATCTTAAAAATACTTATATTGCTAAAGTATGTTTTTCAAATTCATTTGCAGAGTATATAAAGATATTCAGATATGAATTTCCTTGTGGTGAACCAAAGAGCATAGGCTTTGAAGTTAGACCTTACTTTGCATCTTGACTCTATGTGAACTTCCATAGAATATTGAATACTCTGAATCTCAGTCCTTCATGTGTCAAATAAGGTTAATAGTTATCTCAAGGGATTGTTGTAAGAATTAAGTAAAATAAAGTTTAGAAAGTGATCAACAAAATGTCATAGAGATAAATGAGGATACTCTTTCTTATTCCTGAAATTTACTCCACTTAGTCATAGTGGAGTAATATTTATTTAATATAGTGTTGGATTTCATTTTGTTAAAATAAGTTGTTGAGTGGCAATTATTCCGTTGCCTTAGAATTGGTGACCAGGTGACTTTTTACTCCACAGCTGAGTAAAAAGGAGCAATACATACTCTGTATTCTACAAAGATCCACCAATACTTGGAGCAAGAGATTCTTTTAGGCCTTCAAATAAAAGAAAACTGGTGGGGGAAAAAAGAAAAATATCAGAATTGTGAGTCATTGACCTGTTAGGGTCTGCTGTGGCTTTTTCCTCTTTTCTCAATGTGGGAGGGGCAGGGATGCTTCCTCCACAAAACTGATGAGGGAGTTCCCAAAGAATCACTCATAGAGACTGGCATCTTATTCCTCAGTTGCACATCTGTTAGACACCACACTTGCTGATTTGCCCCATGTCAAATTTGGAGTGAGTGGAATAAGCAAGTAAAGTAGACACCCTGCACCACACTGTTTGGCATGGCCAGGATACTTGAGTTTCTGGGGAAATGCTGGGGACTGAATGTTTGTATCCCCCTCAAATTCAAATGCTGAAGCTTAAATCTCTAACGTTATGGTATTTGGAAGTGGGAGCTTTGGGAGATAATTAGGTTATGAGGGTATAGCCTCATGAAAAGGATTTGTGTTCTTCTAAGAAGAGTTGGTCTAACTCCTTCTCTCCCTGTCTCTGTATTTGCCTTTCTCTCTATCTCCTCATGACGTGAAGATACAAAGAAACAGCTGTCTGCAAACCAGGAAGAATACCCTCACCAGACACCCAATCTGCTGGAACTTTGATCTTGGACTTCCTGGCCTCGAGAATTGTGAGAAACAAATTTCTGTTGTTTAAGCCACCCAGGCTATGGTGTGCTGTTGTAGCAGCCCATACTAAGACAGAAATTAGTAATGAGCAGTGGGGTGCTGCTGTAACAAGTACTTGAATATGTGGCAGTGGCTTTGGAATTTGTTAATGGGTAGAGGCTGGAAGAGTTTGGAAGTGCATGCTAGAAAATGCTGACATTGCCATGAAGGAGATTTTAAAGGTGACTTTGGTGAGGGCTTAAAAAGAAAAGAGAAAAGCTTCCATTTTCTTAGAGACTCCATAAATAATGATGAACAAAATGTTGGTAGAAATATGGATGGTAAGGGCCATTCTGATGAGATCTCAGATGGAAGTAAATAACATGTTATTGGAAACTGGAGGAAAGGTGGTGCTTGTTATAAAATGTCAAAGAACTTGGCTTAATTGTGTTTGTGTTTTAGTATTTTGTGGAATGCAGAACTTGCAGGCAATGAAATTGGATAGTTAGCTGACGTTAGTTCTAAGCAAAGTGTTGAGGAGTGATTTGGTTCCTACTGATGTTTATAGTAAAATGCAAGAGGAAAGAAATGAATTGAAGATGAAATTATTAAGGAAAAAGGAACCAGAAGTTAAAGATTTGAAAAATTTTCAGCCTGCTCATATTACAAAAGAATGAAAAAGTATGCTTGGGAGAGAACACTAAAGGTATAGTAAGTTGACTGTTTGATAGGTAGGTCAGTGTGGATGTGTAACAAGGACCAAATCAGCCATCTCAACAGAAGCCAGGAATAGAGATGGGATTATACCAGCAGAAACACTGCCAGCTGGGACTAAGGGAAACAGAGAAAGTGGGAAAAAATGAAAGAAAACTGTTGAACTTCTTAGATTCTACAGGACCAGATCATAGAGCTACTGTATGCAGCTGTTCAGCTATAACTGTGCACTATTTTTCAAGACAAGGGAAGAAGGACCTCAAAAGCAATTCAAAGATAATCAGGGATGCCACTCCCACAACAGGCCCAGAGGGCATGTGCTCAGGGGACAGGGCTGCCTCCACTTCTATTTCAAAGGGTAAGACCCCTGCCCAGTGGAGCCATGGGTGTGCAACTCCCGCTAGGCAGAGCTTCAGAGGTGAGACCCCTGCCTGAGTGGGTTCTGGAGGCAGGACCACTAGTCTAGTGAATCTAGAGGGCAGAGCTTTGAACCAAAGAGGATTATTCTCAAACCTTAGGATCTCATAGAGTTTGCTTGCATGGTTTTAGAATTATTCAGGACCTGTCATTTCTCCCTTCTTTTTTATCTCTCCCTTTTGGAATGAGAATGTCTATCCTACACCTATCCCATCAACGTAGCTTGGAAACAAACAACTTGTTTGCCTTCACAGGTTCACAACTGGAGAGAAATTTTGTCTCAGGGTACTCTTACCTCAAGTTTCATCCATATCTGATTTAGATGATATTTAGTTGAGAGTTTGGACTTTAGAGTTGATGCTGAACCAGTTAAGAATTTTGGATCTATTGGGATGGGATGAATGTATTTTCCATGTAAGAAAGATGTAAATTTGGGGGGGACAGGGGTGGAATTCTACAGACTGAATATTTGCATCCCCCCCTTCAAATTCATATATTGAAGTCTAAATGCCCAAAGTTATGGTTTTGGGAGGTGCAGCCTTTAAGAGGTAATTAGGTCATGAGGGTGTAGCCTCATGATTGGGATTAGTGCCCTTATAAGACATGAGAGAGGTGCTATCTGTCTCTTTCTCTCTGCCATGTGAAGATACAAGAAGAAGACAGCTGTCTGCAAAGCAGGAAGAGTGTCCTCACCAGACACTGATCTTGGACTTCCTAGCCTTTAGAACTATGACAAATAAATTTATTTAAACCACCCAGGGTATGGTATTCTTTATAGCAGCTTGAACTGACTAATATAGGGGGTCAAATGGATACTGAGGTAGTAACTGTGTTTGGGTCAATTTGCTGATACTCTACCCAGATTGCTGACTGAAAGCCTGGGGATCCTTCGCAGAAGAAATTGTGGAGTATATTGGAGAGTATAGGAGTTGATGGAGAATTTGAAGAGTTGTAGCTGCTCTCCTTGGTTGGAGAATGTGTTCCTCTGAGGATCTCTCATATGTGCTCTTTATGACTAAAGTTGGCCAGAAAATGATTGATGACTAAGGGAAAAGTTGGAAACAGTGTCCAGAAAGAAATAAGAACTTTTGTCTTCTTCTCTCTCCCTCCTCCTTTACTCCCATACAGGAGGATGTGCTGGTAAAATTTTAATAACCTTGCCTTTGGGTGTAGTTTTAATGTGGAATTTTACTCATTCATCGATGGTGTAAGCTACTTTTTTGCTGAACCAAATAATAGTTTTTGAATATTTCCTTATTTTTCATGCTATTCAAAGCATAATGGCTATAGGTAAGGCATACTTTTTTTGGTAAGACTTACTTTTAAGTTTAATCTTCATCATTAACATTTTCTTCCTCACTTTCTTAAATCTAGACAGACAACGACTCAAGCCTTGATTTGTAGTGTTTGCCAATTGCTGTGGTGTAAATACTCCCGTTGTCAATTTCTACCAATGTGATATAATTAAATGTGAAATTTGGAAGAGATGTGTAGTAGCATACTGTTATACAAATTTCTACCATATGAATATAGTAGATGTAAATAACTTCAAAACCATGAATAATAGTAAAATATACAATAATTAGGAAGTGATGAGTTTTGAGTATTATCTTTATTTTTGGTATGCCATTGAATTTTAAGTTTACATAATTTAATTTTTAATGGTGAGTGTTTAATAAACATCTCACAAAATTGCTGAAAATTCAACAAGCAGCTCTAATGAATTGGTAGGAGCTGGCTTTAGCACACCACTGTACCCATATAAGAGAAAAAAGAAATTAGAAGAAGAGTGAGGAGGAGTTGTGCTAGAAGAAGGCCATATCAACCTCCTACTCTCAGTTGAGGGAACAGGAGTAATCAAATTGCTGACCATACCCCTCTCCATTTCAGCTCCCTGTGTCATTAGACTGGCTTGTATAGGGACGGGAAAGCCATGACGAGGGGTGAGATCAAAATACTAAGTTGGACAGACTTTTAATAACCAAAGTGATCAGGATGAAATTAGAGAAATATAAAACTGCTTTATTACTATTACTATTTTTGAGATGGAGTTTCACTCTTGGTGCCCAGGCTGGAGTGCAATGGTGCAATCTCAGCTCACTGCAACCTCCACCTCCAGGGTTTAAGCTATTCTCCTGCCTCAGCCTCCCGAGTAGCAGGGATTACAGGAGCCCGCCACCATGCCTGGCTAACTTTTGTATTTTTAGTAGAGATGGGGTTTCACCATGTTGGCCAGGCTGGTCTTGAACTCCTGACCTCAGGTGATCAGGCCATCTCGGCCTTCCAAAGTGCTGGGATTACAGGTGTGAGCCACCATGGCTGGGCTGCTTTATGTTTTTATGTCCCTGAATCAAGAATAAGCAATGAAATAGTTAAAACTAACATTTTATTTTATATTTCTTTAAAAATCTATATTTGCTTTCTATTCTTGTGGTCAGACTTAAGGATCAAATCTACCTTTGCAGAAAAGAACTGAGAACTGTTCCACCTTTGTCTGTGTTCCAAAACTATTTAAATAGTTCTTTGAAACTACAAAGAAACTCACCTTTGACACAGCTTCAAAGTGGTACTTTTGTAAAAGAATTCTTTGACTGCTTCCTCAAATTTTTCTACAGTTATTGATCTATTTATGTTTTCTTTTTTGTTGAGATTTTTCCCTTTCATATTTTCCCAAAAGTTCATCCATTATTACACCCATGTGTCAAAGCAATGTAGTTACACAAAGCATTCATTATAATTATTTTAATGTCTTCCATATCCATGGCTATAGTTTCTTCTTGATTACCAATATTGTGCCTTATGTTGCCATTGTTTTCTCTTCAATTTTGCAAACTGTGGTCATTTTAACATTCTTTTGGGAGGTGTTAAACATACTAAGTTTCCCAAGTACTCTTAAAAGTTCAGTGTGCTAGGCTGGATGCAGTGGCTCACTCCTGTAATTCCAGCACTTTGTCAGGCCTCGGGTGGATCACCCGAGGTCAGGAGTTCGAGACCAGCCTGGCCAACATGGTGAAACCTCATCTCTACTAAAAATACAAAACATTAGCCGGGTGTGGTGGCACATGCCTGTAGTCCCAGCTACTCGGGAGGCTGAGGCAGAAGAATCGCTTGAACCCGGGAGAGGGAGGTTGCAGTGAGCCGAGATCATACCACTGCACTCCAGCCTGGGCGACAACAGAGCAAGACTCTATCTCAAAAAAAAAAAATAAATAAAAATAAAAGTTCAGTGCGCTTATGAGAGGAAAGCCAAAGTTTGGTGAACATACTGGGAGATTGACAGCTTTTCTTTTTTTTAGTCCTCCAACAAATGCATACTTAACATGGTTTATAAGCAATGTATTGAATTAAAAACTAAGTATTATACATTTGATTTATAAGATTAGTTATACACAAATCCTGTCCTCAACTGATCTTGACTTTCTTTTCTAGTTTATTTGTCTCTTGTCATATTTTTTGAAGTTTCCATTTTATTATATAAAATTTTTTTATTTGGCTGAGGTATAACTAAATTATAAATTCTGCTATCTAGAAGCAGATAGAATTGTAGGATAGATAAAATGGATATAAAGTTTCCTTCTAGGCTGACAGGGACCTGGATAAGGGTGTTCTATAACTCACTGAAGACTGAGATACAATTACTTTTACCACAGTTTCTAAGGAGGATCCAAGTATCAGTTATTCTACTCCTAAGCTTCCCTAGAAGTAGGTGTTAAAAACCACTAAGAGTCTGAGATTTGACCCTACTTACGAGCTAACAAGTTTGCCTGCCACGGTTTCATCAATGGTGGCAGCTTTCTTCCAGATATCTCTACCTGAATGTTTAGATGCCTATGGGCATCTAAAACTTAACATCTATGAAATAAATCCCAGCCCTTCTCACTTTGATCCTCTTATCCACCCCAATCTCCTTTTCTTCACTTGGTCTCTGCCTAAGTACAAAGCACTACAATGCACCTAGTTACCAAGACCCAAAGCTTGCAGGCATCCTATTGAATGGGGTACAGTAGTGATGAAGAACACAGGCTCTGAAATCAGACTTCTAAGGTTCAAATCCAGCCTTTCAATTTGTTAGCTGTATGACCTTGTGCAAATTGTTTAACCTCACCCAGACTTAGGTTTTTCATCTGTAAAACTGCACTAAAACATTGGGCTACAAAAGTTTGTTTCACTCTGAGCAATAGTACAAAACTGCTACATGAAGAAAGCTGCTTCGAGACAATCAGGTGGTAGGCCTTAATCAGAATACTTACATGAAAATGTAAGTAAGTAGGAGTGGTCTTAGATGCAAATGTCATAGTTTGTTTGTTTGTTTGTTTTTTGAGATGGAGTCTTGCTCTGTTGCCCAGGCTGGAGTGCAGTGGCATGATCTCAGCTCACAGCAACCTCTGCCTCCCGAGTTCAAGCAATTCTCATGCCTCAGCCTCCCAAGTAGCTGGGACTACAGGCATGCACCACCAAGCCCAGATAATTTTTTAAAAATATATTTTAGTAGAGACAGGGTTTCACCATGTTGCTCAGGCTGGTCTCAAACTCCTGACCTCAGGCAATTCGCCCACCTCAGCCTCCCAATGTGTTAGGATTACAGGCGTGAGCCACCATGCCCGGCCCACAAATGTCATAGTGCTCACGTGGGCTGCCTAGTGCATAGTGTCATAGCTGCTGCCTGTCTAAACTATGTGTGAAAATCAAGGTCACATAGCTAACAAGTAGCAAGGCTGGATTTAAACCTTAGCAGTCTGATTTCAGAGCCTGTGCTCTCTTCATCATTACTATACCCTATTCAATAGGATGACTGTGAGCTTTTGGGCTTGGCAACTGGGTGCACAGTAGTGCTTTGTACTTAGGCACAGAACAAGTGAGGAAAACTTGTTACCCAGAATAAATGAGATAAGGACAGTATCCACACTACTACCAATGTCCAATTAATTTGAAGTTCTACTGATTCCACATCTTTGTACTTCTTTTTTCTGAACTCTCCTTTACAATTCTGATGTGCTTGGAAAAATTTTATAGCATTATGCAAGTACTAAATGCCAGTGAAAGACCAAGTATGACATATTTAGGCTGTCCCTTTTAAGTGCACAGAGAAATTGCCTTACTTAGTTTTCTAGGCAGACTTTTTCTTAAGTATATCAGTTAAAGTTTGCAATAAATCCTGACATTAATTTGGGGCAATATAATTGAGCTCAAGAAAAGCCTTCCTTTAAAAATTCACAATTGTAATTACCATCTACACTAGTAAAATATTATACATAATAAATATTTTATAAACTAGAAATATTCAGAAAGCTAATCTAGTATATTTTAACTCATAACCCTTATAACATATGCCATAAAACTTTCATTTAATATACATTGCATAATCTAAGACAGATATAAAGTAATGTTTTAAAACTCTGAACTGGACGAGGTGAGGTGGCTCATGCCTGTAATCCCAGTACTTTGGGAAGCCTAGGTGGGTGGATCTCTTGAGGCCAGAAGTTCAAGACCAGCCTGGGCAGCATGGGAAAACCCCATCTCTATAAAAAATACAAAAAATTAGCTGGGCATGGTGGTGCATGCCTGTAGTCCCAGCTACTCTGGAGGCCAAGGTGGGAGAATCACCTAAACCTGGGAAGTTGAGGCTGCAGTGAGCCATGTTTGCACCACTGCACTCTACCCTAGGCAATGAGTGAGTCCTTGTTTCACAAACAAACAAACAAATTCTGAACTGAAAATTTAAGGTGGTTATGATAGTTACATTTTTGATTTTGTAATGCTGCATGACTTGTCTTCTTTGATCTTTGATATTGCCTTAGACGCGGATGTAGCAAGAGCTTCTTCAAATTCCAACTGAAAATCAAATGTCAGGGGTATAGCCATAGTTGTTTTTCTTCCTTCACTCTGAAGCCTGTTTATCTGCAGCAATGCCAAAGTGAAAAAAAAAAAAAAAAAAAGAGTACTTTTTATATGGGGAAAATCTTAGGTGGAAAGAAAAAAAATCTCACTTTACACACACACACACACAGAATTTAGGTGGCAGGCAATAATGGAAAAATAGTACAGACTGAAAATTGGGGGTCTAGTGCACCAACTGTTTTTATGCCTTTGCTGTGTGACCTGAGTTGTTCTTTTCCCATCTGTAAAATGTGGGGGTAGGACTTGAGGATTATTAAGGCTCCCTCCTAATTCTAAAGTACAGAATTTAAGGAAAGATCTACATATTTAGATACATAGAGTTCTTGGAACCATAGTAGGCATGTCCCTCCAGCCTGCTCCTCTTCCTGTAGCCACACGCACGATGAATCACACCAATCTTCCTCTAGTCGTGAGAGCCAGAAATAGAGTGAAGAAAGTAATCAAAAGAGGACTTTGTTAAAATCCTTATACAAATGGATTGAAGAAGAAAAAGGATCTAGCTAAAAGGTGAGTAAAGGAGCCGAAAGTTTTCTCTAAAAAATTATCTCAGAGCATAGCTCAAAAGAATAAAGAGATGAAAACCCTGAAAGCAAAATCAAAGGATATGGGGGACTTCTGCTTCTGCCAATAGATGGAGCACTATGGGAATTAGTCTCCTGCTCTCAACAACTAGGAGCTCAGGCAAAATATATGAAAACAACTGCCCCCAGCTATTAGAAAACAGAGTAGGACAGATCGCTGAAAGAAGGGAAATAACTGAGGTCTACCCTCTAATAGCCCAGCTTACTTCCTGGAGGTGGTTTCAGGGCTGAGGTGCAGGGAGGAGAAACCCATTGGATTGGGGGAACTCAAACCAAATCTTGCGGCTTTGATCTCGCTAAAGTTAAGAGAAAGATCGCACCAGCAATCACACTCTCACGCATTTACCTCAGAGAAATGGAAACTCATGTTCATACAAACCTGGATGCAAATGTCCATAGCAGCTTTATTTTATTTTTTAAGCAGCTTTATTTTTACTAGTAAAATCGTCAAAACAATCCAAAAGCCCTTCATGGGATGATTCGTTGAAACTTTGTACATCAGCAATAAAATTTTTATATTTGTATACATTACATTTTCAACTAGTATAATTAGTTGCTTTTTACAAATTAGTTTATATCATATTAATGTATCATTAGCTAAAAAGTAAAATTATTCACATTTGAAATGTTAACCTGTTAATGATTAAACTGAATTGTAGCTTATACGTCACAAACCTTTGTTCTTCTGGCCAAGATTATCTCTGCTTGCTTATCAAGGACATCCAACTTCTCTAGGATTTTTTCTGCCATTGTCAATCACTAAATTCCTATTTTAAAATAAGGAGGAAGAAGAACAAATCAATTCAAATTTAAACATAAAACTAGGCATAAGTTTTCAAAAGACTCACTTTTACATTACTGTTTTAGGTAAATAATAGAATTGTTTAAATCATACAGTAAATCATAGAATTGTAAATGTACCCAAGTTTTTTCAATTGAAGGCTATATGATCAGAACTCCCAGATATGTATAGGCCCCATGAATTTTTAAATTTATGATAAAGGTGAGGGGGAGAAAGTTCACGATTACCATGAGAACCATATGTGACTTATACTTGAAGCAAGACCATGTGGCTTGACTTATATCTATTTTCTTTTTAAATTTTTTTAATTAAAAATATATCAAGCTAGGAGTAGGACTTAATTTTGTCGTTGTTGTTGTTGAGACAGAGTCTTACTCTGTCACCCAGGCTGGAGTGCAGTGGTGTGATCTTGGCTCACTGCAACCTCCACCTCCTGGGTTCAAGTGATTTTCCTGCCTAAGCCTCCTGAGTAGCTGGGATTACAGGTGTGCACCACCATGCCCAGCTACTTTTTGTATTTTTAGTAGAGACAGGGGTTCATCATGTTGGCCAGGCTGGTCTCAAACTCCTGACCTCAAGTGATCCGCCTGTCTCAGCCTCCCAAAATGCTGGGATTACAGGTATGAGCCACCGTGCCTGGCCAGGAGTAGGACTTTGGACATATCTGTTTTCTTTTTGTCATGATATAATTTTAATGAAAGTAAACACAGGGAACTCATATTTATATAATTAATTGCTTCAAATTAAATTGGTCAATGATCCAAGACTGTTAACAGCATGTAGCAGGCAATTAGTCACACATAAGTAGCAGCAACTAAGCTGGTTAGGTCCCATTGCCATAATGGTTCATATTTCCTAGTTAATTAATATTGCTAACCGTCTCATCTGAGGTCAAGCAGTCCATATTAAGCTTAGGGAGCTGTATGAGACATCAGAACCTGGTCTAATTTATTACATCTTCAGATGAGAAAACTGAAGGCCACAGAGTACCCTATTAGTGTAATAGAAATAGCTAGGGCAGAGTGGAGGCAAGAATCCAGGAATATCAACCCAAAGCTCCCTTTATTTATTTATTTATTTATTTATTTATTTATTTATTTATTTATTTATTTTAAAAATTGAGTAGATGGGTCAGGCACAGTGGCTTATGCCTGTAATCCCAGCACTTTGGGAGGCCGAGGCGGGCAGATCACTTGAGGTCAGGAGTTCAAGACCAGCCTGGCCAACATACTGAAACCCTGTCTCTACTAAAAATACAAAAATTAGCTGTGCGTGGTGCCACATGCTTGTAATCCCAGCGATTTGGGAGGCTGAGGAGGGATCGCTTGAACCCAGGAGGCAGAGGTTGCAGTGAGCCAAGATGGCACGCCACTGTGCTCCAGCCTGGGTGACAGAGTAAGACTCTGTCTCAAAAAGAAAAAAAAAATTGTGTAGATGACCATGCATTCAGTATACTTTTGCTCACTGAATTAAATGGGCTCCAGTGGCATTTAAGTGTAAAAGTGATATCGTTCACAGAAAGTACAGAATCATCAATGTTTTCAATGAATATTAATGTTAATACTAAGGTTCTTTCCAGCTCAGAAAAATCTCTGATATTTCTCCTATATTGTATATTATTCCAGCAATGCCACATGGAGACAACAGTTCATGAAAGGAGAAAGATTCAGGATCCGATGCCAAAAGTTTACATTATTTTGTAATTGGTTTCCTTCAGCTTTTTTTTTACTCTTTTTTCCTTCACCATACATTGCCCTGAGTATGATTTCTTCATGTACTGAATGACATCCCATCCCAGCATGCCCTCTATCACGTCACTACATCCAGATTTTCCCTCCATCACACGATGTAGTCCAGTGTGATAAATAAAGTATACAGACATGCTGGGTGTGGTGGTGTGTGCCTATAATCCCAGCTACCTGGGAGGCTGATGCAGGAGGATTGCTTGACCCTAGGAGTTTGAGACCACTCTGGGCAACATAGCAAGACCTCATCTCATGAAGAAAAAAAAAAAGTAGCCAGGCACAGTAGCATGCATCTATAGTCCCAGCTGCTGGGGAGGCTGAGGTGGGAGAATCAAAAGGATCATTTGAGTCCAGGAGTTTGAGGCTGCAGTGAGCTATGATCATGCTTCTGCACCCCGGCTTGGGTGACAGAGCAAGACCCCATTTCTTTAAAAAAAATTACACAGAGGAAATTCTGGGCCATGGGGGTGCAAGCAGATAGCCTGCCTTGTGACGAACCACACAACCTCAGGTTGCACACTGGGAAGGGGAGATCCAGGATTGTGAAAGCTGATC